>NW_009646207.1:0-156562 GCF_000001405.40 Homo sapiens
ATCACTTGAGCCCAGGAGTTCAAGACTGGCCTGGGCGCGGTGGCTCACGCCAGCACTTTGGGAGGCCACGGCGGGTGGATTACTTGAGGTCAAGAGTTTGAGACCAGCCTGGCCAACATGGTGAAACTCCGTCTTTTCTAAAAATATAAAACTAGCTGGATGTGGTGGTCCATGCCTGTAATCCCAGCTACTTGGGAGGCTGAGGCAGGGAGAATTACTTGAACCAGGAGGTGGAAGGTGCAGTGAGCCAAGATCACACCAGTGCACTCCAGCCTGGGCAACAACAGCGAGACTCCATCTCAAAAAAAAGAAAAGAAAAAAAGACCAGCCTGGGCAATGGAGAGACCCCATCTCTATTTAAAAAAAAAAAAAAAGTATGGGAGTCCTCAGTGATCATACCTATAGATTCCAAACCCCTTCTCCATCATTTGGATTGCCCTGGGAAGCACAAGAGAAGACCACCATCCAAACAGAGATCAGTTCTTGAACCTGTGTTGATGTTTATTCTGCCACTGAGAGGTACACCAGGGTTTCCAAAGACAGTAGGAATATTTCTGTTCTCTGTGTATATTGAACAGCTGTGCACCTAAGCAGGGTGCCTGAGTAGGAAGTTAATTTCATTTTAAGGGCTGGAGCTTGTTACAAGTAGCGGAGCCAAGCCTTTGCACATCCATTTTCTTCAGAACCCAAGGAAAACTAGCCCATCTTGACAGCTCTACTTTTGCGCCTGTTAGTGCTGCCCTGATCCCTGACAGGAAGAGCTGGCTAATTTTAGATAATCTGTGCCCTGACACTAAAGTGTCTAATCATAGGGGCTATAGAAACAACTACATTAACAAGTCGTCCAGCCTCATGCCCAATGTCACAATTTTTGAACAGATGGCCTCCTTCCTTCCTGTTTACTGACATGCAAGGCTCTGAGAAAAATAATTCAATCCAATTTACAGCAAACACCACATTTCAAGAAAAGGGAAAGAACAGGTGATGTGTATACCAAGGTCCCACTTGCTCAGGCAAAAAGAGGCTGCAGAAAATTGGTTCATCAATGGAATTCTATCACAAAGTGACCATTGTATAGTGAGTTTATTTGTGCTCTAAAATAGTATCAACGTGCATCTTTCCACTGAATGACTTCATGGATCGTGGCCAACATAGAACTTGGATAGGAAATCCTTTGGCCTTGGCGCTTCTGTTTCATGGAAGAACCGCATAACATGTGTCCGCTGCTTCCATACTTTAATTGTTTCTTCCAGTTCGATCTTTCCCTGAACAGTGAGGAGAGAGGTCATCAGTCAAAGTTGTCAAGTTGAAGGCATATGACACTGAAGGCCAGGATTCTATTCTCTGCTCAGCATGGACTTGTTGAATGACCTTGGGCAAGTAACTACTCTGTCTGGGCAAAGTTTCTATGTCTGGACAATGAGGTGGTCAGGGTAAATCATTTCTGACACTTTTCAGATTCTTTAACTCTGTGGTTAACTGGTACCAAGAGGAGAAACATACAGGTTAACAGGCTCCTATCCCATGACTACCTAACCTGACTGGCTTAACTTATGTTTCTGCTTATCATTTCTTCTGTTACTGACTGGTCTATGCTGAAGCTCCCATTGATGCTAACGTGACTGGCCAGGGGGACAGAATCAGCCCCAGGATTTGAGTCCATTTATACAGGACTCATAACCACCCTAACTGCCTCTTCCAGCTGTAAACTGGCATTCAGATGAAGTGGTAACTTCTAGGGATGAGGTTCAAGAAGAGTTCAAACTTTCCTCCCTATATCTTTTTTTATGGTTATAAAATGCAAGTCCCAGTGGATGTTCCCTTGATGAATCTTATCTATTTAACCAGATGATAACCTCCAAGTTCAAGTATTTCTCTGAAACACAGCAATAATCACTGCCGAACCAGTAGCTGCTTTCTAAACTTGGAGACAAAATGTTCATTTGGAAAGACTAAGAAGTAGTGGACAAGTTGGCTGATCTTTTAAATTGGTCAGGGAGGGTCAGTTACCTTAATGACCAGAAGATCAACCACCCTGGGGTCTGTGACATGGGCATTCTTCATAAACATTTCTCGGACTTTATCCCGTCCCATTTTCACAGTGATGTCCAGCTGGAATTGGTGCACTAGAGAGAAAAACATGACTCAGGGTAGAAATTGTATGGTTAAATAAAACCTAGAGTCAAATGATACTCATTGAACACATACAGGTCGCCCATTCATTTCTTCACCAAAAAATTAGCCTGACCCTAGGCTAGGTGCTTGAGGATGAGACATGTGATTCATGGTATTTGCTCTCAAGGAACTTATTATTTGTTTGGGGAAAAAGACCACTGAATTTGAAGAGGCAGTAAAGCATTGTTCAAGAGTTTGAACAACCTGGGTTCAAATCCCAGCTTTTGTTAGCTATATGATCCCGTGTAAGTTAACTTTCTTGTGCCTGAGTGTATTTTTTAAAAAATTATTTTATGGGCTGGGCGCGGTGGCTCACGCCTGTAATCCCAGCACTTTGGGAGGCCGAGGTGGGCGGATCATGAGGTCAGGAGATCGAGACTACCCTGGCTAACACAGTGAAACCCCGTCTCTACTAAAAATACAAAAAATTAGCCGGGTGTGGTGGTGGGTGCCTGTAATTCCAGCTACTCGGGAGGCTGAGGCAGGAGAATGGTGTGAACCCGGGAGGTGGACCTTGCAGTGAGCCGAGGTCGCACCACTGCACTCCAGCCTGGGTGACAGAGCGAGACTCCGTCTCAAAAAAAATAATAATTATTTTATTAGCTGGGCGCGGTGGCTCACGCCTGTAATCCCAGCACTTTGGGAGGCCAAGGCAGGTGGATCACCTGAGGTCAGGAGTTCAAGACCAGCCTGGCCAACATGGTGAAACCCCGTCTCCACTAAAAATACAAACATGAGCCGGGCATGGTGGTGGGTGCCTGTAATCCCAGCTACTCGGGAGACTGAGGCAGGAGAATCACTTGAACCCGGGAGGTGGAGGGTGCAGTGAGCTGAGATGGGCCACTGCATTCCAGCCTGGGTGACAGAGTGAGACTGTGTCTCAAAAAAAAAAAAAAAAAAAGGCTGGGCGCGGTGGCTCACGCCTGTAATCCCAGCACTTTGGGAGGCCGAGGCGGGTGGATCATGAGGTCAGGAGATCGAGACCATCCTGGCTAACAAGGTGAAACCCCGTCTCTACTAAAAATACAAAAAATTAGCCGGGCGCGGTGGCGGGCGCCTGTAGTCCCAGCTACTCAGGAGGCTGAGGCAGGAGAATGGCGTGAACCCGGGAAGCGGAGCTTGCAGTGAGCCGAGATTGCGCCACTGCAGTCCGCAGTCCGGCCTGGGCGACAGAGCGAGACTCCGTCTCAAAAAAAATAATTATTATTTTATTAGCTGGGCGCGGTGGCTCACGCCTGTAATCCCAGCACTTTGGGAGGCCAAGGCAGGTGGATCACCTGAGGTCAGGAGTTCAAGACAGCCTGGCCAACATGGTGAAACCCCGTTTCTACTAAAAATACAAAAGTTAGCCAGGTGTGGTGGCACGCAACTATAATCCCAGCTACTCGGGAGGCTGAGGCATGGGGAAATCACTTGAACCCGGGAGGTGGAGGTTGCAGTGAGCCAAGATCGCGCCATTGCCCTCCAGCCTGGGAGACAAGAGCGAGACTCTGTCTCAAAAAAAAAAAAAAAAAAAAAAGTGAGTTATCATTACTGTTTTTTTCATTAAATACTTAAAATTTTACTTTTGTTTTTTATTAATGCTCAGGCTGTTCTAAGTTCTCAACACTATTACTTATTCCCCTTCCTTGATTTGATTCCTCAGCTGGAGTCCTGATGATGGATACCATAAAACCCGTGTGGCACAGGTTTGAGTAACTGGCCAGCTACAGATCACTGATCTTCCCCATAGGGATGCATACTCCTTGACCCCTTCTTTTCTCTCCTCTTCCCTTGCTTTCTAGGCTCCTGTAGCCCTCTGCCTTCTTTTCCTCCTCTCAAGACCCTTCTGACTTTGGGACTTTCTTCCCAAAACAGAATTTGAGGGAAGGTCTTGGGAGGGGTCGGTTTAGAAAGAGCTGGATCCTCAGAGTCAGGATACCTGGGTTCTGTCTTCTACTTGGCCACTGATTTACCCTTCACAAGCCACCCTTTTTGAATGTGGTCCTCCTTCCCCCAGCACCTTCCTCCTGCAACCAGAGAGGGTTCTGGGTACTCCTAGAAGTATTCTGCCAGGCAAACATTATGTTTTCAAACTGCTGAATTTGAATGCACCACCCCGAAACACACACACACACACACACACACACACACACACACACTGCTACAGTCACTCCCCACACACATCTTTTATCTGCCTGCCCCTGAAGGCATCTGAATTTGCAGTCCCTGAACCAGCAGATCACTCAAGTTTCTCCTTCTCTAGTATCGCGTGGGTTTAAGTTCTGGTCAGTAGCAATTTTTCCAAAAGTCAGCTTGAAGACAGGGACTCTGTGGAGCAGACACAGTTCTCATATGTCAAAGAACCGGGTTCTGCTTGGAAGCTGCTGCTAAGGAAAGCCCTATAAATAACAAAAATAACAACAAAAACAACGGCAGCAGCTAATATTTAATGAGTTAAATATGCATCAAGTCCTGTTCTAAGCACTCTAGATATTTTAACTTAATACAGTAACCTTCTGAAGAAGGAATTATTATTCCCATTTTAAAGATGAAGAAACTGAGGAATAGATGAAATAACTGGCCCAAGGTCACACAGCTAGTTGAGGGCAGCGCCTGAAGAAAAGTCCGTGCTCCTAACCACCACATTCTACCGCCTTTTCACACACACAAGCAGGGACTCGACAGCCCTGAGGAGTGGCACCGTGCTCCAGCTCACTCAAAAACACCTCTTTCTCGCACTTTGGGAGGCCGAGACGGGCGGATCACGAGGTCAGGAGATCGAGACCATTCTGGCTAACACGGTGAAATCCCGTCTCTACTAAAAATACAAAAAAAAATGGCCGGCGTGGTGGCGGGCGCCTGTAATCCCAGCTATTCGGGAGGCTGAGGCTGAGGCAGGAGAATGACGTGAATCCGGGAGGCGGAGCTTGCAGTGAGCCGAGATCGCACCACTGCACTCCAGCCTGAGCGACACAGCGAGACTCTGTCACAAACAAAAAAATCCAACGGGCATCTATAATTACACTCTGCAACTCTAGACTTTGGGTTCTGGGTACAACAGTGGCTCGGCCTGGGCCCTGGGCACATCACTTCACCTCTCGGTGCCTCCGCTGCCTCACCCACAAAGTGAGTGTGTCACTGACAGTCATCGTCCTCCCGCCAATTGCGAAGGACAAAAGAGACCAAAGCTCCGATAGCACGTACGAATGCTAGGCACGGCCGGTCTGACCACCGCGCCGCCGCCAGGTCCGGCCCATGGTAGGCTCGGGTGACCCTCTTCCCCTGAAGCACCCGCAGTCGCCTCTGCCCAAGTTGGTGACCTCAGCTGGGCCCATGAGAAACCCCGGCCGGGCCGGCTACGACCTTGAGCGGCGGCCTCCGGGTCCCCACGTAAGCCGCTACCTCTCACCAGTGTTCGGCACCTCCCGATACCAGGCGCGGTAGAGCTCGCGCACCCTCCGCTTGGCCTCGTTCATGTCCCGACTGAAAATGGGCTTCACGAAGGTGCTGGCGGTAGAAGTAGCTTGGCGGACGCCGCTCCCCGCCATCTTGCCAAAGCATCCACTCCACAACCCCACCCCTTTGCAAGCAGCGCGTGCGGACCGCGGGCGAATGTCTTTTCCCATTGGCTAAGGAGGAACGCCCCGCCTGTATGCTGGGTGGGCGGGAGGATGACTCTGAGGCTCTCGGATTGGCTGGGAAGCCTCTCTCTGGCTGAGCGAACGGTGGGTGCTGCGCATGCTCATCTACAGAAACGCCGCTTGGCCTTTGGACTACACCATCTGTCGCTCGCTCTAACGAGCCGGCGTTGCCGCCAGGGGACGCTCGGGCCGCAGGAGGTCGCTGGGTCGTGAGCTGGCGCCGGGGACGCCGAGCGACTGCGGGGTTTCCCTCAGCGTCCTGCTATCCGGCTGCCCGCCGCGCTCCTTGGTAGTGTCCGTGGGCGCGCAGGCCTTGAAGAACCTCCTCGTGGCGGGACCCCGAGGTAACTGCTGAGGCAGATAATGGCGCCTGGGCTGCGGTGGGGCTTGTCCTGCCGCCTGGCGGCTTTCTGCAGGGCCAGGATATACTTACTTTTCTGTAAACCAACTCTTCCTTAGCGCAGGAGAGGTGTCAAAGAGCTGGCGCGTCTCCAGAGCCCCGGGAGGAAGGCTGTAACGGCAGCCCCATCGTAGACAGGGACATTCGCATCCCGAGCCCTGGATCTCTGAAAACCAGCCCAGAATTTGGAAGCTGGAAGGAACTTTAGATCGTCCATTCTGAGTGTCTCTCTTCGCTGGCGTTTTCCCACTGAGGTTATGTAAACATGAAGAGGAGCCTACAAGTGTCAAGGAAAAAACGACAGCTAACCACAGGGCAGGCCATGGGCAAGATATCTCAGTGTTCTCCGCTCTCATAGGTCAGGTAGGTACCTCAGCATCCCCATTTTACAGGTGAGGAAACTGAGATGGCCCAGAGTCTAGGTCACCTGACAGATCGCCCCCACCTGCCTGACTGCTGCCTAAGAGGCTCCGTCTTTTTCTGAAGGTGTAGTTGACAGGAGCCTGTGAGTATTGGGGAAGGGCCAGGGGCCGGGGCTGAGCATCTACTCCAAACTTTCCCATTTCGAAGGGTTAAAAAACCAGATATACTTTTTTTCTTCCTTATTATCTTCTAAAATGTATATATATATTCAAGTGAGCTATACAAAAGAAAGCACGTAACATATATAAATTATAAAGCATAATAATAAAATGGAAGCTTTTGAACCTCAGTACTGACTTAAGAAGTTGTAACACAGTTAAGGTTTGTATAAAGTGTCCTTAGATGTCCTTAGTAGCCACTGTTCTCTAGTTCTCTAGGTACATTAACTTGGCTAGGCTTCACAACACACCAGTGAGATTGTGTTGATATACCCTTTTTTTTTTTTTTTTTTGAGACAGAGTGAGACTCACCTAGGCTGGACTGCAATGGTGCAATCTCGGCTCACTGCAACCTCCGCCTCTCATGTTCAAGCCATTCTCCTGCCTCAGCTTTCCGAATCGCTGGGATTACAGGTGCGCACCACCATGCATGGCTAATGCTTGTATTTTAGTAGAGACGGGGTTTTGCTATGTTGGCCAGGCTGGTCTCAAACTCCTGACTTCAGGTGATCCACCCACCTCAGCCTCCCAAAGTGCTGGGATTACAGGTGTGAGCCACTGCCCCCGGCTGATATACTCATTTTATAGATGAGAAAACTGAGGCACAAAGAGACTAAGTTACTTTACAGCATTGGGGTTGAAGCCCAGGCAGCTGGTGCCAGAGTCAGTTTTCTGACTCTCGCAGCACCTATACCATGATATCTACCTGTATGATTCTAACCTTGTGTATACCCCTGCCTCCTTCAGAAGTACCCACTATCATGATAAATTCATTGTGTTCAACATTCAAAAAAAAAATGGGGCGCAGTGGCTCACTCCTGTAATCCCAACACTTTGGGAGGCCAAGGCAGGTGTATCACCTGATGTCAGGAGTTCGAGACCAGCCTGGCCAACATGGTGAAACCCCCGTCTCTACTAAAAATACAAAAATTAGCCGGCATGGTGGTGGGCACCTGTAATCTCAGCTACTCGGGAGGCTGAGGCAGGAGGATCGCTTGAGCCCGCGAGGTGGAGGTTGCGGTGAGCCAAGATTGCGCCGCTGGACTCCAGTCTGGGCGACAGAGTGAGACCCTGTCTCAAAAGGAAAAGAAAAAAAAGACCTCTAAACAACCCACAAACTGGGAGAAAATTTTTGCAAATCACATGTTCCATAAGGGACTTGTATCTAGGATACATAAAATTCTTACAACTCAGTAATGAAAAGACAAATAGCCAAGTTTAGAAATGGGCAAGGGAGACAACACCAAATGCTGGTGAGGATGTGAAGCAACAGGAACTCTCCTTACTGGTAGGAACGCAAAATGGTACAGCAGCTTTGGAAGACAGTTTGGCTTTCTGACAAAACTAAACATACTCCCATCAGAAGATCCAGCCATTGCATTCCTTAGTGTTTACCCAAATGAGCTGAAAACTTATGTCCACACAGAAACCTGCACATGGATGTTTACAGCAGCTTTTGTTTTTGTTTTTGTTTTTGAGATGGAGTCTCGCTCTGTCACCCAGGGTGGAGTGCAGTGGCGCGATCTCGGCTCACTGGAAGCTCTGCCTCCTGGGTTCACGCCATTCTCCTGCCTCAGCCTCCAAGTAGCTGGGACTACAGGCGCCTGCCACCAAGCCCAGCTAATTTTTTGTATTTTAAGTAGAGACGGGGTTTCACCATGTTAGCCAGGATGGTCTCGATCTCCTGACCTCGTGATCTGCCCGCCTTGGCCTCCCAAAGTTCTGGGACTACAGGCGTGAGCCACCGCTCCCGGCCAGCAGCAGCTTTATTTGTAATTGCCAAAACTTGAAAGCAACCAAGATGTCCTTTAGCAGGTAAATGGATAAATAAACCTTGGTATATCCAGACAATGGACTATATTCAGCACTAGAAAGAAATGAGCTATTAAGCCATGAAAAGGCATGGAGAAACCTTAAATGCATATTAGTAAGTGAAAGAAGACAATCTGAAAGAGCTACATACTGTATGATTCCAACTATATTACATCCTGGAAAAGGCAAAACTATGGAGACAATAAAAAAGATGGCAGGGGCTGGGAGTGGGGAGAAATGCACAGAGGTGGTGCACAGAGAATATTTAGGGTAGTGAAATTACTCTGGATGTTATAATGGTGGATACATGTTATTACACATTTGTCAAACCCTACAGGATGTACAACACCAAGAATGAAACCTAATGTAAACTATGGGATATGGGTGATACTGGTGTGTCAATGTAGCTTCATTGCTTATAACAAATATATCCTCTGGTGCCTGATGTTGTTGGTGGGGGGAGGCTATGAGTGTGTGTGGGGTGGGGGAACCCTGTATTTTCTGTTCAGTTTTGCTGTGAACTCGAAACTGCTCTTAAAGATGAAATTTTTATTTTAATGGGTAAAGTATTTGAATAACCATTTCTCCAAAGAGGATATACGGGTGACCAATAAGTACATGAAAAGACATTCAACATCATGAGCCATTAGGGAAATAAAAATCAAAACCCTCGTGAGATACCATTTCTCACCCAGTAGAATGGCTAGAGTGAAAAAGGCAGACACAGCCAGTCACGGTGGCTCACACCTGTAATCCCAGCATTTTGAGAGGCCAAGGCCAGTAGATCACTTGGGTTCAGGAGTTTGAGACCAGCCTGGCCAACGTGGTAAAACCTCCTCTCTACTAAAAATAGGAAAATTAGCTGGGCATGGTAGTGCATGCCTGTAATCCCAGCTACTAGGGAGGCTGAGGCAGGAGAATTGCTTGACCCGGGAGGTGGAGGTTGCAGTGAGCCCAGATCATGCCATTTCACTCCAGCTTGGGTGACAGAGCAAGACTCCATCTCAAAAAAAAAAAAAAAAAGACAAAAGATAGTGTTGGCAAGGATATAGAGAAATTAGAACTTTCTATACTTTGCTGGTGGGAATGTAAAATGGTGTAGCCATTTGGGAAAACAGTCTGGCAGTTTCTTAAACAGTTAAATATGGCCAGGAGTGGTGGTACTCACTTGTAAGAGGCCGAGGCAGAAGCATTGCTTGAGCTTAGGAGTTTGAGACCAGACTAGGCAAAATAATGAGACCGTATTTAAAAAAAAAAAAAAAAGTTAAACGTGGACTTACTATATGATCCAGCAATTCCAATCCTAGGTATTTACCCTGAAGAAATTTTTTTCCACACAAAGACTTGTATGCAAATGTTCATAGCAGCATTATTCACCATAGCCAAAAACTAAAAACACCCAAATGGCTATCTGTTGATAAGTGGATAAACAGAAGGTGGTCTGTCACCCAGGCATGGTGGCTCATTCCTATAATGTCAGGATTGCTTGAGGCCAGGAGTTTGAGAACAGCTTGGGCAACATAGTGAGACTGCATCTGTTGAGGGAAGTCAGGAACCCCGAACGGAGGGACCGGCTGAAGCCGTGGCAGAAGAACATAAATTGTGAAGATTTCACGGACATTTGTTAGTTCCCCAAATTAATACTTTTATAATTTCTTACACCTGTCTTTACTGCAGTCTCTGAACATAAATTGTGAAGATTTCATGGACACTTATCACTTCCCCAATCAATAGCCTTGTGATTTCCTATTCCTGTCTTTAATCTCTTAATCCCGTCATCTTCGTAAGCTGAGGAGGATGTATGTCGCCTCAGGACCCTGTGATGATTGCATTAACTGCACAAATTGTTTGTAGAGCATGTGTGTTTGAATAATATGAAATCTGGGCACCTTGAAAAAAGAACAGGATAACAGCAACGTTCAGGGAACAAGAGAGATAACCTTAAACTCTTGACTGCCAGTGAGCCGGGCGGAACAGAGCCATATTTCTCTTCTTTCAAAAGCAAATGGGAGAAATATCGCTGAATTCTTTTTCTCAGCAAGGAACGCCCCTGAGAAAGAGAATGCGTCCCTGAGGGTAGGCCTCTGAAATGGCCACTTGGGGGGTGGCTGTATTTTACAGTCACAGCTGTAGGGATGAAATAAGCCCCAGTCTCCTGTAGCGCTCCCAGGCTTATTAGGATGAGGAAATTCCCACCTAATAAATTTTGGTCAGACCGGTTGTCTGCTCTCAAACCCTGTCTCCTGATAAGATGTTATCAGTGACAATGCATGCCCAAAACTTCATTAGCAATTTTAATTTCGCCCCGGTCCTGTGGTCCTGTGAACTCGCCCTGCCTTCATTTACCTTGTGATATCTTATTACCTTGTGAAGCATGTGATCTCTGTGACCCACACCCTATTCGTACACTCTCTTCCCTTTTGAAATCGATAATAAAAACTTGCTGGTTTTATGGCTCAGGGGGCATCACGGAACCTGCTGACATGTGACGTCTCCCCCGGACACCCAGCTTTAAAATTTATCTCTTTTGTACTCTGTCCCTTTATTTCTCAGACCGGCCGACACTTAGGGAAAATAGAAAAGAACCTACGTGAAATATCAGGGGTGAATTTTGCCCGATAGCATCTCTACAAAAATTTGTTTAAAATAGCCAAGCATGGTGGTACGTGTCTATAGTCCCAGCTACTCGAGGGGCTGAGGTAGGAGGATTGCTTGAAGCCAGGAGTTCGAGGCTACCATAAACTATGATCCTACCACTGTACTCCAGCCTGGGTGACAAAAAAACAAACCTAAACAAAACACAAAATATGGTGATACGGTTTGGATATTTGTCCCTTCCAAATCTCGTCAAAATGTCATCCCCAGTGTTGGAGTTGAAGCCTGGTGGAAGGTGAATGGATCATGGAGGCAGATCCCTCATGAACGGCTTAGCACCATCCCCTTGGTGATGAGTGAGTTCATCTGTAATCTGGTTGTTAAAGGTGTGTGGCATCTCCCGCTTTGCTCTCTTGTTCCTGCTGTCACCATGTGACATCCCTGCTCTCCCTTTTCCTTCTGCTGGGATTTGAAGCTTCCTGAGGCCCTCACCAGGAGCAGATGCTGGAGCCATGCTTGCACAGCCTGCAGAACTGAATCAATTAAACCTCTTTTTCCTCTCTCTCTTTTTTTATTTTTATTTTTTTTGATATGGAGTCTCACTCTGTCACCCAGGCTGGAGTGCGATGGCACGATCTCAGCTCACTGTAACCTCCGCCTCCCGGGTTCAAGCGATTCTCCTGCCTCAGCCTTCCAAGTAGCTGGGATTATAGGCGTACGCCACCATGCCCAGGAGGCAGAGGTTGCAGTGAGCCGAGATCACACCACTGCACTCCAGCCTGGGTGACAGAGCAAGACTCCGTCTCAGGGAAAAAAAAAAAAAACTACCAAATTGTTTTCCAGAATAACTGAATCATTTTACATTCTCATTGGCAATTCATGAGTGATCTAGTTTCTCCACATCCTCTTCTACATTTGGTGTAGCAACTGTTTACATTTAGCCATTTGGAATAAGTGTACAGGGATAGCCCATTGTAGTTTTAGTTTGCATTTCCTTAATGGCTAGTGATATTGAACATCCTTTCCCAAGTTTATTTCCAATGTGTATATTCTCTTTACTGAAGTGCTTTTTCATGTCTTTTGCACATTTTTATTTAGATTATTTATTTTTGAGTTTTGGGAGTTCTTTATATATTCTAGATACTAGTCCTTTATCAGATACGTAGTTTGCAAATATTTTCTCCCACTCTATGCCTTTTCATCCTCTGAACAGGGTCTTTCACAGAGTAAAAGTGCTTAATTTTGATGAAATCTATTTTATTATTTTTCCTGTTATGGATTGTGCTTTTAGTGTCAAGACTAAAAATGCCTTGTGTAGCTCTAGGTCCAGAAGATTTTCTCCTAAATGTTTGATGATGTACATTTAAGTCCATGGTTTGGTTTGGTTTTTGTTTTTTGGTTTTTGTTTTTCTTTGAGACAGTCTTATTCCCTCACCCAGGCTGGAGTGCAGTGGCATGATCTTGGCTTACTGCAACCTCTGCCTCCCAGGTTCAAGCGATTCTGGTGTCTCATCCTCCAAAGTAGCTGGAATTATAGATGCGCACCATCACGCCCAGCTAATTTTTGTATTTTTAGTAGAGACAGGGTTTCACCACGTTGGCCAGGCTGGTCTTGAACTCCTGACTTCAAGTGATCTACCTGCCATGCTGGAATTATAGGCATGAGCCACTGCACCTTGTTGTAATTTTTGTATATAATGTAAGATTTATTTCAAGGTTCATTTTCTTGCCTATGAATATCTGATTACTCCAGAACCATTTGTTGAAAAGCCATTTTTCCTCCATTGAATTGCATCAGCACCTTTGTAAAAAACCAACTGGGCACATATTAGTTGGTGACAAATTCTTTTAGTTTTCCTTCCTTTGAGAATTTTACAATTTCCCCCAGCATTCTTGAAGGATATTTTCATTGGATATGGGATTCTGAGTTGATAGTTTTTTTAACAATGGAAAAGTGTTGTGTCACTTCTTTCTGGTTTCTGTTGTCTCTGATGAGAAATAAGCTGTCATTCAAATTATTTTTTCTATATAAGTAACATATTGTTTTTCTCTGGCTGCTTTCAAAAAATTTTTTTGTTTTGTTTTCAGAAGTTTGACTATAATGTATCTTGGTGTGAACTTCTTTGGGTTTATCCCAATTGGAATTCTCTCAGCTTCTTGAATCTATTGTTTTATGCATTTTGCCAAGTAGGAAAGTTTTCTTTGAATATTTGTTCATTTGATTATTTATTTATTAATGTATTTTTTTGAGACAGGGTCTTGCTCTGTTATCCAGGCTGGAGTACAGTGGCAGAATCATGGCTCACTGCAACCTAGACCTTCCAGGCCGAAGCGTTCCTCCCACTTCAGTCCCCAGAGTAGCTGGGACCACAGGTGTGCACCACCACACTCAATTTTTTTGTTTTTGAGGCGGAGTCTCGCTCTTTCACCAGGCTGGAGTGCAGTGGCATGATCTTGGCTCACTGCAATGTCTGCCTCCCAGATTCCAGTGATTCTCGTGCCTCAACCTCCTGAGTAGCTGGGATTACAGGTGCCTGCCACCATGCCTGGCTAATTTTTGAATTTTTGGTAGAGACGGGGTTTTACCAAGTTGGCCAGGATGGTCTCAATCTCTTGACCTCATGATCCGCCTGCCTTGGCCTCCCAAAGTGCTGGGATTACAGGCGAGAGCCACCACGCCCGGCCCCCTCCTATGTTGTCCAGGCTGGCCCCAAACTCCTGGGCTCAAGCAATCCTTCTGCCTCTGTCTACCAAAATGCTGGGATTACAGGGATGAGCTATCATGCCCCACTCTGATCTTTTATTAACAGTCTCACAGGCCCTGAGGTTGTGTTTATTATTTGTTTCTTTTCTTTTCTTCTTTTTTTTTTTTTTTTTTTTTTTTTTTTTTGGTTGAGATGGAGTCTCGCTCTGTCGCCCAGGCTGGAGTACAGTGGCGCGATCTTGGCTCTGCCTCCCGGGTTCACACCATTCTCCCGCCTCAGCCTCCCGAGTAGCTGGGACTACAGGTGCCCACCACCATGCTCGGCTAATTTCGTTTTTGTATTTTTAGCAGAGACGGGGTTTCACCGTGTTAGCCAGGGATGGTCTCGATCTCCTGACCTCATGATCCACCCACCTCAGCCTCCCAAAGTGCTGGGGTTACAGGCATGAGCCACTGTACCGGCCTCTTTTATTTTCTCTTTTCTTTCTTGTTTACTTTTTCCAGTCCATTTTCTCTCTGTTGTTCAGATTGAGTAATTTCTGTTGTCCTGTCTTCCAGTTAACTGCTTGTGTTGTCCTCTTTTCCACTTTTGAGCCCATTCACTGAGCTTTTTATTTCGTTGTTGTATTTTCTATTTCTAAAATTTCTATCTGATTCTTCCTTATATCTCCTATTTCTATGCTGAGACTCTTTTTTATTTTTTCAACATGTTCATAACTGTATTTTTTTTTTTTGAGATGGAGTCTCACTCTGTCGCCCAGGCTGAAGTGCAGTGGCACGATCTCGGTGCACTGCAACCTCTGCCTCCCAGGTTCAAAAGATTCTCCTGCCTCAGGCTCCCGGGTAGCTGGAATTACAGGCATGCACCACCACACCCAGCTAATTTTTGTACTTTTTGTAGAGACAGGGTTTAACCACGTTGCCCAGGCTTGTCTCGAACTCCTGGACTCAAGCAACCAACCTGACTTGGCCTCTCAAAGTGCTGGGATTACAGGCATGAGCCACTTTGCCCGGCCTGAGTTGCATTCCTCTATGAATTTTAGAAAAAGCAATCAATTTCAACAAGAAAATTGCTGGAATTTTTATTGATTACACTGAATCTATAGATTAATTTGAGAGGAACTGACATCTTTAAAATGTTGAGTCTTCTGATTCATGACCATGGTATGGCTCTTCATTGATTTACATCGTCTTTAATTTCTCTCAGCAATGTTTTGTAGTTATTAGTGTATGATTTTGCATGTAGCTTTTGTTATATTTTTTGTCTATGTATTTTATATTTTGGATGCTGTTATAACTGGTTTTTAAGAAGTTTTAATTCCCAATTGTTTATTCCTATTATATAGCAATATAATTGATTTTAATACAGTGATCTTGCATCCTTCAGCCTTGTTAAGCTGTAGTTGCTTTTTGGATGATCCCACAGGATTTTACACACAATCATGTTATTTGAAAATACAGTTTTATTTCTTTCTTTCCAATCTGATTGCCTTTTACTTCTCTTTTTTGACTTGTTCACTGGCTAGAGCTTCTAGCACAATATCATACAGAAGTGATGAGGGTAGACCGGGTGTGGTGGCTCATGCATGTAATCCCAGCACTTTGGGAGGCCGAGGCAGGCGGATCACCTGAGGTCAGGAGTTCGAGACCAGCCTGGCCAACATGGTGAAACCCCATCTCTACTAAAAATACAAAACTTAGCTTGGCGTGATGGTGCACACCTATAATTCCAGCTACTTGGGAGGCTGAGGCAGGAGAATCGCTTGAACCTGAGAGGCAGAGGTTGCAGTGAGCTGAGATCATGCCATTGCACTCCAGCCTAGGTGACAGAACGAGACTCTGCCTCAAAAAAAAAAGCAATGAGGGCAGACTTTTTTTGCCTTAAATTAAGACATTCCTGGCCAGCTGTGGTGGCTCATGTCTGTAATGCCAATACTTTGGGAGGCCAAGGTGGGTGGATCACCTGAGATCAGGAATTTGAGACCAGCCTGGCCAACATGGTGAAACCCCGTTTCTACTAGAAATACAAAAATTAGCTGGGCGTGGCGGCAGGCACCTGTAATCCTAGCTATTCAGGTGGCTGAGGTAGGAGAATCACTTAAACCTGGGAGGCGGAGGTTGCAGTGAGCCAAGATTGTGCCCTTACACTACAGCCTGGGTGACAAGAGTGAAAGTCTGTCTCAAAATAAATAAATAAATAAATAAATAAATAAATAAAGACATTTCTGAACTTAGGAACAAAGCATTTAGTATTTTACCATTGAGTATGTTGCTAGCTGTAGGTTTTTCGTAGATACCCCTCATCGGATTGAAAATGTTTCCATGAATTCCTCGTTTGCTGGGAATTTTCTTTTCTTTGAGGTTCAGATGTTGATTTTGTGAAATATATTTTATGCATCTATTGATATAATCATGGAATTTTTCTTTTTCTGTCTGTTAATATGGTTAATTTCATTTATTGGTTTTTGAATGTTGAACCAACCTTGCATTCCTGGGAGTAAATGCTATAGATAATGTTGTATATATTTACATATTATTTTCAATGTGATAAGATTTTGTTAATATTTGCATCTGTGTTTATGAGGATGTTAATCTGTATCATCTTTACCTGTTTTTTTTTTGTTGTTTGTTTGTTTTTGAGATGGAGTCTTGGTCTGTTGCCCAGGCTAGAGTGCAGTGGCGTGATCTTGGCTCACTGCAACCTCTGCCTCCTGGGTTCAAGTGATTTCCCTGCCTGAGCCTCCCGAGTAGCTGGCAGTACAGGTGCTTGCCACCATGCCCAGCTAAATTTTGTATTTTTAGTAGAGATGGGGTTTCATCGTGTTGGTCAGGCTGGACTCGAACTCCTGAACTCAAGTGATCCGCCTGCCTCAGCCTCCCAAAGTGCTGGGATTACAGGTGTGAGCCACTGTGCCTGGCCCATTAAGGTGCATATGTATTTAGGATTGTGATATTTTCCTGTTGGACTGATTTTTTTTTTTTTTTTGAGACAGAGTCTCGCTCTGTCTGCCCAGCCTGGAGTGCAGTGGCGTGATCTCAGCTCTCATCTCACTGCAAGCTCCGCCTCCTGGATTGATGCCATTCTCCTGCCTCAGCCTCCCGAGTAGCTGGGACTACAGGTGCCCACCACCACACCCGGCTAATTTTTTTGTATTTTTAGTAGAGACGGGGTTTCACCATGTTAGCCAGGATGGTCTTGATCTCCTGACCTCGTAATCCGCCCGTCTCAGCCTCCCAAAGTGCTGGGATTCCAGGTGTGAGCCACTGCGCCCGGCTGGACTGATCTTTTATCGTTATGTAATGTCCCTTTTTGTCTTTTTTTTTTTTTTTTTTTTTTTTTGAGACAGAGTCTCACTCTGTTGCCCAGGCTGGAGTGCAGTGGCGCAATCTCGGTTCACTGCAAGCTCCACCTCCCGGCTTCACACCATTCTCCTGCCTCAGCCTCCAGAGTAGCTGGGACTACAGGCACCCACCACCATGCCCAGCTCATTTTTTTGTATTTTTTTAGTAGAGACGGGGTTTCACCATGTTAGCCAGGATGGTCTCGATCTCCTGACCTCATGATCCACCCGCCTTGGCCTCCCGAAGTGCTGGGTTTACAGGTGTGAGCTACCACGCCTGGCCCCTTTTTGTCTTTTTTTTAACCGTTGTTGCTTTAAAGTCTGTTTGTGTGATATAGGAATAGCTACTCGGCAAGGCATGATGGCTCATGCCTGTAATCCCAGCACTTTGGGAGGCTGAGACAGGTGGATCACGAGGTCAGGAGATTGAGATCATCTTTGCCACCATTGTGAAACCCCATCTCTACTAAAAATACAAAAATTAGCTTGGTGTGGTGGCATGCCCCTGTAGTCCCAGCTACTCGGGAGGCTGAGGCAGGAGAATTGCTTGAACTCAGGAGGCAGAGGTTGCAGTGAGCCAAGTTAGCGCCACTGCATTCCAGCCTGGTGACAGAGCAAGACTTAGTCTCAGAAAAAAAAACAAAAACAAAAAAACATAGCTACTCTTGGCCAGCTCACATCTATTATCCTAGCACTTTGGGAGGCCAAGGCAGGCAGATCATGAGGTCAGGAGATTGAGACCATCCTGGCTAACATGGTGAAACCCTGTCTCTACTAAAAATACAAAAAATTTAGCTGGGCATGGTGGCGCATGCCTGTAGTCCCAACTACTTGGGAGGCTGAGGCAGGAGAATTGTTTGAACCCAGGAGGCAGAGGTTGCAGTGAGCCGAGATCGTGCCACTGCACTCCAGCCTGGGCAACAGAGCGAGACTCCATCTCAAAGAAAAAAAAAAAAGAATAGCTACTCGTACTTGCTTTTGGTTTCCATTTGCGTGCAGTATCTTTTTCTACCCCTTTACCTTAAGTTTATGTGAGTCCCTATGCATTAGATGAGTCTCTTGAAGACAGCAGATGGTTGGTTGGTGAATTTTATCCATTCTGTGTCTTTTAAGTGGAGCATTCAGGCCATTTACATTCAATGTTGGTATTGAATTATGAGATAGTGTTTTATTCATAGTGATAGTTGTGCTTTTTTAAATTGTGTTATTGTTTTATAAGCCTTTTAAAACATATACTTAAAGGAGGTTCTATTTTTGTTTCAAGATTTAGAACTCCTTTTGACATTTCTTGTAGTGCTGGCTTGCTAGTGGCAAATTCTCTCAGCATTTGTTTGTCTGAAAAAGACTTTATCTCTCCTCATTTATGAAGCATAGTTTTGCTGGATACAAAATTCTTGGCTGGCAATTATTTTGTTTGAGGAGGCTAAAGATAGGACCCCAATCCCTTCTGGCTTATAGGGTTTCTGCTGAGAAATCTGCTGTTAATCTGATAGGATTTCCATTGTAGGTTCCCTGATGCTTTTGCCTCATGGCTCTTAAGATGTTTCCCTTCATCTTGACTTTAGATAACCTGATGACTGTGTGCCTAGGTAATTATCTTTTTGCAATGAATTTTTCAGGTGTTCTTTCAGCTTCTTGTATTTAGATGTTTAGATCTCTGGTGAGAGCAAGGAACTTTTCCTTGATTATTCCCTCCAATAAGCTTTCTAAATGTTTAGATTTCTCTTCTTCCTGAGGAACACCAATTATTCTTAGGTCTGGCTGTTTAACGTAATCCCAAATTTCTTGGAAGCTTTGTTCATTTTTAAAAATTCATATTCGCCGGGCGCAGTGGCTCACGCCTGTAATCCCAGCACTTTGGGAGGCCGAGGCAGGCAGATCACAAGGTCAGGAGATCGAGACCATCCTGGCTAACACGGTGAAACCCCATCTCTACTAAAAATACAAAAAATAAGCCAGGTGTGGTGGCGGTCGCCTGTAGTCCCAGCTACTCAGGAGGCTGAGGTAGGAGAATGCTATGAACCCAGGAGACAGAGCTTGCAGTGAGCCGAGATCACGCCACTGCACTCCATCCAGCCTGGGCAACAGAGCGAGACTGTCTCAAAAAAAAAAAATTCTTTTTTATTTGTCTTTGTCTGGTTGAGTTACTTCAAATGCTTTGTCTTCAAGCTCTGAAGTTCTTTCTTCTACTTGTTGGAGATAAATGTTCAGTGCCACAAAGCGAAACCAGCACTCAGGCAAAAATTTTCTCAGCAAGGCAATTTACTTCTGCAGAAGGGTGCTGCTTGTGTCAATCACGATTGCAAGAGCACACTGAACAAAGGAAAGCAGGGGTTTTTATTCCTAATGCAGTCCCTGCCTCTTTGTCATTCCTCCATGGGCTGTGGTTGGACCGCACAATCTAAACTGACCCAATTGGCTATTTGTGAATACTTTCCCAAATAAGGAAGGGAAGGGAAATGTGAGTTACAATGGTGGGATGTGCGGTTTCAAAGGGAGGAACGGGTGAAGAGTGGGTAACCAAGGGAACAGATGTGAGTTATTGATTAGGACTGACAGGAAAGTTGTTTACAGTTACAGTAACTAGGGGCAAGGAGGCATAGAGAACAAGAAAGTTGAGTTTGAGAACAAAGAACAAGGAAGTTAACAGGCTAAACCTTTGAAGAATTTTATTGTATCCTACAATTTCCCCCTTTTAATTTTTATAGTTCTTCCTCTTCAAACCTTTTTAAGATGTCTTGGCTTTGCTGTTTGACTTGATCGTCTGAAAGGAAACGCTTATCTGAATAAGGTGGAGGAGAGCTAAGGGAGATTTTAGTAAGTGCTGTTTCTATAAGCCTTTGTACTAGCCCATGGTTGCATGGTGTGACACAACACCCAACAAGAATGAGTACACCTATTATGACTGCAAGAGAAGTAAGAATTGAGGCTATGATTCCTTTCTATTTACCAAACCACCTGTCTAGCCATCCTGAAGAAGGGTTATTGACTCCAGAATTTTTAGCTAATTCATTAGATAAAATGGTAAGTCCTTGTAAGGCTTTTGTTATGCTCCCATCTGGGGCAGTATGGTTTGGGATGAAGGTACGACACTGAGTTTTAATCATAACACAAACTCTACCTTTTTCAGCTAGTATCATGCCTAGGGCCATTCTGTTTTCCTAAGCCATCTGGCTAGTCAGCCCTAACTCCTCAGCTATTCCTTTGACAGCATCCCTGGTATAATTAATAAACTGCTGTTGGTTATAATAGATGTAATTTATACAGTCTACATTTTTATTAATAGTTACCCATGGAAATATTGATTCAAATCCTGCAGACTATTTGGTCCCGGGCTTTTAATTTATCAGGTACTCCCCATGGGACTCCAGTTGCATCTAAATAAACTTGAGAGTCAAAAAACCTATAAGGGGCTTCTCTTATTTTATGGTGTTGTGGCTTTTCTTTTTCTGGCTGATGAAACGCCAGGGTGAAAGGGATAGCCAAATGGACAAGAGTGCAGGTACCACTCCAGTTACTTGGCAGAGTGTCCAGTAAGGGTCCGCCACAATACCACCATACATCTTCTTGAGGATGACTAAGGGCAGACTGATGGGTAAGCTCTTGGAAAGGCTTAAGCTCACTGCATCCTGTTAAGCTTCCAAGGAACACCAAGTTTTCCCCTTGTCGTGAGAGACAGGACGTGAAATTGACATTGGGAGCCAGAAGCTGGATGGCCCTCTGGGGCTGACCCGCAGGATATTGAACTTTGGGATAGAGCAAAGAGAGAGCTTGGCATGATTGATTGCCCCAAGCTATGGAATCCTGGAAGAGAGCTACCATGCTGCCCATGCCTGGTTGACTGGGGGACCAGCCGAGTGTAAAGGGGTCTATCTGGGTCTCTGGCTGGCCGTGAGCACAAGCATAACAATTGCTTTTGTTTCATGTGCGGACAGAATATTTGGTCCATTCCAACCAGGCATTTGCATCTTGATATTTTGTTTCAATTGCTAAAGTTTGCCTTAGATCATTTACTTCTACAATATCTACTTTAGTCTTATCATTGGGTATAGAAGGTATGGCAGTCTGATTAGAAGAAGGCTTAGAAGGAGAAGAGAGGGAAGAGGGTGAAGAGGATGAGGGATTAATAAAACGCATTTCAAAAGACCCTATGAGGTCTGTGCCGCGTTGGTCCCTATGCCATAGAAGCGACTCAAAGTAGGTCTAGAGGGTCGGTAGAGGCCGGAGTGAGAGTAGAAATCTGCACTGGATTACACTGGTTATACTGAAAATCGAGGGGAGGGGTGCTTCCTTTAGTAAAGTGAATGTATGATTTTAAGTATATACAGCCACATGTTGATGAGGTCCAGCCTTGATACTCAGTTGTCCACAGAACATCATTCCAGCTATGGCAGACCTGTTTCCCTATATTTTATGAGGAGCAAGAGTCTTGGTAGCGGGAGCCTTTTATTTTAAAGTGGCAGAGATACTTTTCTAAGGCTGAGAGTTGCCTTTGACTTTGGAGATCTCTACAGGGTATGACTAAACAGGCATCAAACATAATAACTTGGGGTGAGTTTGATTTAGTCACATTGATAACAAGGTGGTCAGCAACAGAATGAGGAAAGAAGAAAGAGTAATAGAGTAGACGAAAGAGAGTTAAACTTTTCTTAGCTTTAGTTTGAGGGGGTTTTCCCCTGGGATAATGGCCCATGACTCTGGAGGTGACAGTGCTTTCTTGACTCAGGTGTGATGGGTCTATCCTTTTTCTGCTGTCCGGACTGCAGTTTCAGTGGTTAGAAGCACCAGGTAAGGTCCTTCCCAGGCTGGCTCAAGTTTCTCCTCTTTTCAGCTCTTGATAAGGACGTGATCCCCAGGCTGATGTTGATGTACTGGGAACTCCAGAGGCAGAGCCTGTGCTAGGAGACCTTTGGTTTTAAGAAAAGAGAAAGTAGGGGAGAGACTAAGAATATAATTCCTGAGGAACTGGTGTTTTTGGAACATCAGCAGTGGAGTGTAAATAAGGCAATCCATAGAGCATCTTGTAAGGGGAAAGGCCAGTATCTTTTCGAGGAGCAGTTTGGATTCTTTTTTTTTTATTTGGTTTTGTCAAATGTTTTATTGAGTGTAGACATCTGGAGTACTATAAAACATGCATTATCTGTAGATTCAAAAAGGAGCAAGCCACATTGTTCTCACTGTCAAATGTGTTAGGCTTGGCATACATGATGGAGATTAATGAAGTATCATGAGAGTAACATGGTTCTTGAAAAGCTTCTATAATTTGGAGTAGGGTCTTAATCACATGAAAAGCAAAGGTGTTCACATTTAGTGAACTTGCATTTCATTGGGGGGAGAGGGTACACAGTATTTTAATTTTAAAACAAAAATAATTTGTTTGTCAAAGATTCCCATCTCCCCAACTTTATTTGTCCCATTGGTTTTCAGAAATTTTAATTTTTAAAAAATCAGATGCCTTTTGGAAGTTGTATGTTTATCTGAGCAGTAACTAAATTTTATTTCTTCTTCAGTTGTTAAGGTGTGTTAAATTTGAAGAAGATAATATCTCCATCTTCAACAATATAATTTCTGCCTTGTTGTCTGTACTTTCCAGCAGCCTTGACTGCATTTTCAGAACCTTCCTCTTTAAAATCTTCATATTTCATTACTTCAGCCATAATGAATCCCTTTTCAAAATCTGTGTGAATCTTTCCTGCAGCCTGAGGAGCCTTAGTCCCTTTCCTGATGGTCCGTGCACGCACTTCATCTGGGCCTGCAGTGAAAAAGTATTTTAGTTGGAGTGCTGCAAACCCAGCCTTAATGATCTTTGGCAAAGCACTTTGTGTCATGTTCGCTTCCAGATACTGCTGTCTCTCCTCAGCACTCAATTCTTGCAACTTGAGTTCCAAGGCCCCACTAAAAGGAATGACCAAGGCACCTGGGTCATACTTGTCCACCCACTCTTTAATTTTTATCAGCCATTTGTTTTTCTTTCTAATGTAGTCTTTTTCAGAAAGATTAACCAAGTAGACCATTGGTTTTGAAGTCAAAAATAAGTGTTTATTCAACACTTCAATCTCTTTGTCATTCCAATCATGATAGAAGCGAACAGGTTCTTTTGATCTATAACCCAGGATTTTACTTTGCACATTATATCATATTTGGGTTTTAGTTTTTTATCTCCTCCTCTCACAGCCACCTTTTCTAGTTTATCTATAATGGGCCCAGTCATTCCTCATCTTTAAGCTGAAGCTCTTCATGTATTATTTCTATATCTCGAATAGGATCTACACTTTCTTCAACATGTGTGATATCATCATCTTCAAAAGCACGTGTTAGATGAAAGATGCCATCACAAGCACTAAAATGAGATAAAAAAGCATTCCCCAGGCCCTGCCCATTGTGAGCTCCTTTCACAAGGCCAGCAATATCCACTACATTTAGAAAGGCAGGAATTTTGCTTGCTGGTTTGTGATATTGGCAAAGAAAGTCAAACCTTTCATCTGGCACAGGTACTCTGCTCTCATTAGGATCAATAGTGCAGAATGGGAAGTTTTCTGCTGAAGCCTGACTATTGGTTAATACATTGAAGAAAGTAGATTTCCCAACATTTGGCAATCCAACAATACCAATTTTCAGTGAGGTTCCAAATCTTCCAATGATTGGGGGTGGTTTAATTCCATCACCTCCCTTTTGAGGGGGCATCGTGCTCAGCCTGGGCTATGACACGGGGTCCCAGTAGCAGCGAGAGAAAGGTCCTGCCGGCAGCCAGAGGCGGGGAGGAAGGAGGAGAGAACGCAGGCCCGGCCCCTCCGCCGAGCGGCATGCCGCACTACGGCGGCGACAGCGGTGGAACCGCCGTTTGGATTCTTAACAGGGCAATAGGAAGATATTTGATCCCTGGCAACCGAATCTATAGAACTAACTTGGTTAAATGGTTCTTTAAGGTCTGATTCATCCTTTCTACTCTCCCTGATGAAGGTGGGTGCCAAGGAGTATGATATTTCCATCTAATGTCTAGCGCTTAGGATAGCTTTTTAATGATATGTGCTATGAAATAGGTTTCACTGTCTGAGTCAATATTTTCTATTAGCCCAAACCTGGGCACTATATTTTCAATTAATGCTTTAACTACATGATTGGCCATTGCATTTGAAAAGGGAATAGCTTCGACCCAGTGAGTGAGGTGATCTGCTATTACTAAGTACTTTAGGCAACCGATTGGGGGCATTTCAATGTAATCAGTTTGAACACTTTGGAATGGTCTTAGCCCTGAATCCCTCCCCGCCCAGGGATGATTTCTTTATAACTTGTTTGTTGGTTTCCTTACATGTTAAGCAACTATCCATAACCTGTTTGGCTAGGGTATATACCCATAAACCCTGAGAACTGTGTCACACATGGCTTGGGGTCCCCAGTGTGTCCCTTGATGCAGGTGGGTAGGATTTCTCTCATGAGCGGTTTGAATAGCATTTCTCTTTGATCTGGTAACACCCATTTTCCTTCTGAGTTTTCTTTGGCTCCATTTTTATTAATTTTTCCTTTTCTGCAGCAGACAAGGTAGGGGTTGCAGCAGGGGGAGGAAGACGAGGGGTTAAGTGAAAGGTGTTTCAGATGAAATGGCAGCCTGTTTAGCCACTTGATCTGCAAGGTTATTTCCCTGACTTGTAAAGGAAAAGTCGTTTTGGTGTCCGGGGACATGTACAATGGCTATTTCTTCTGGCAACTGGAGATTGTTTAAAACATGGACGATTAGCTCCTCGTGGGTAAGATATTTTGGCCTTTAGTTTTTTTTTGTTTTTTGGTGTTTTTTTGAGACGGAGTCTTGCTCTGTCACCCAGGCTGGAGTGCAGTGGCACGATCTCAGCTCATTGCAAGTTCCACCTCCCGGGTTCACGCCATTCTCCTGCCTCAGCCTCCTGAGTAGCTGGGACTACAGGATCCCGCTACCACACCTGGCTAATTTTTTTGTATTTTTAGTAGAGACGGGGTTTCACCATGTTAGCCAGGATGGTCTTGATCTCCTGACCTCGTGATCCGCCCACCTCAGCCTCCCAAAGTGCTGGGATTACAGGCATGAGCCACCGCGCCTGGCCTGGCCTTTAGTATTAATAAGACCTTGCTCAGCCCAAATTTTTCCAAATATATGAGCTACTCCAAAAATGTATTTAGAATCAGTATGAATAGTTCCTTCCTTGCTCTGTAAGTGTTTTAAAACCTGGCTGAGTGCAAATAGTTCACATGCTTTGGCAGACCAACTATTGGGCAACCTTCCTGACTCTGTTTCTTCAAGAGTTTCTCCATCAATTACTGAATACCCATTGTATTTTTCTCCTTTAATTGCTTGGGATCAACCATCTATAAATAAGTGTCACCCCATTTTGAAAGGGGTCTCTCTTAGATCCGGCCTGACCTTTGTTTGGTAGTCAGTTAGATCTAGACATAAGTGTTCTCTTTTTAGATTTGGGTCCCCTGTTAAGAAACCTCTCGGATTGAGTGAGTTATCAGTAGTCAAGGTTAAATCATCTTTTTAGTAAAATAGCCTCCTATTTTAAGATTCTGGAGTCAGTGAGCCACCTTCCTGCTTTTTTATTTAAAATAGCTCTAACTTGGTGGGGTGTGCTTACAGTCAATTTCCCCCCAAAGATTAATTTTCTACTTTCTTCAACTAATACTGCTGTAGCTGCAACGAATTGGATGCACTGAGGCTACCCACAGGTGACTGGGTCTAAAATTTTTGATAGGAAGGCTACGGGCTGCCGGTGACCACCATGTTCTTGAGTAAGAACCCCTAAAGCTACCCCGTTATTTACATTAACAAAAAGATGAAATGGCTTTTCTAGGGAAGCTAAGGCTAAGACAGGGGCAGTTATGAGTTTGTATTTCAGCTCTTCAACCTGATTGACTTCCTCAGAAGTCCACAGGAGACGGTCCAGTTTCCACTGGGTAAGCTTTTCATATAAAAGTTTACTTTTTAGGGCATATGAGTCAATCCATAAGCATCAATATCCAACTAATCCTAGAAATTTTCTGAGTTATTGCTTAGTTTGAGGCAAGGGTAAGGACACGATGCCTTCAACTCGTTCAGGTCCTATCCTTTGCTTACCTGCACTTATTAAGTGGCCTAAATATTTAACTTCAGGCTCCACATACTGAAGCTTTCCCTTTAAGAACCATAACCCCTCGAACTCCAGATGGTTAAGGATATGTGTAGAGAAGCCAGCTACTTTCTCTACATCTTCAACAGATACGAGAATATCATCCATGTACTGGAGCAGGCATATTTGCTTTGGGATGACAACTTTTTCTAACACTTGTTCTAAAATTTGACCAAAAAGGTTTGGAGAGTCTGTAAACCCTTGAGGTAAAACTGTCCATCAATAATGTTGTTTTCGCCCTGAATGGGGATCCTACCACTCAAAAGCAAATATGTCTCAGCTGTCTTCAGCCAAGGGGCATGCCCAGAAGGCATCTTTTAAATCTATTACTGTAAACAACTGATGGTTTTTTGGAATTTTGCTGAGAATGGTGTATGGGTTGGGGACAACAGGATGGTTAGTTTGGACTATTTGATGGCTCTAAGATCTTGTACCAAGTCGGTATGACGCATCTAATTTCTTGACTGGCAATATTGGAGTGTTATACGGGGACATACAGGGTTCAAGGAGCCCATCTTTAATAAGACTTTCAATTATAGGCTTTAATCCTATCCTGCCCTCTAGGGGTTTGGGGTATTGTTTCCTCCTTACTACTTCCCTGGGGATTCTTAACTTGATGTGGATTGGAGGGATTCAGAGTTTCTCCCGGTTTCCTTCCCTTGACCAGACACTAGGATTAATGCATTTTTCATCTGTGGTGGTGAGTAGGTTTAATGAGGTAAAGAATCCTTTAGGACCAACTTGTAAGCCTGTGCCTAATTCTAGCATTAAGTCTCTTCCTAATAGATTAGTTTCTGCCTCAGGGATCAACAAAAATTGGATATGAGTCAGCCGATCTTGGTATTTAACTTCTGTACTTTCTAAGATTTTTGCTTTAAATCCTTCTCCTTTTACCCCAGAGACTAAAAGTTCTTCTGAAGAGCAGGCAATGTTGGATGGGGGGAAGCAAATGGAGGAGCGAGCCACTCCTGAATTGACTAAAAGGTGATAAGCTCATGTTTGGTTCCCACCTGTAAATTTATCAAGGGCTCCTGGTGGGACTCGAGATAAACAGAGCCCCTGACCCCCCTGTTCTTCCTCAAAAGTCATGAGTTGAAGGGCTTCTTTCTCCTTTTCCAGTTTGGGACATTCTCTTTTGAAGTGGCCTGCCCTTCAAACGGTCTGGACGGACCGTTTATAGTTTCTGGCCCCCTGGAAGCTTTGTTTAGAAGCATAAACGAGGGTCTGGACCTTTTATAGTTTCTGGCCCCCTGGAAGCTTTGTTTAGAAGCATAAACGAGGGTCTGGACCTTTTATAGTTTCTGGCCCCCTGGAAGCTTTGTTTAGAAGCATAAACGAGGGTCTGGACCTTTTATAGTTTCTGGCCCCCTGGAAGCTTTGTTTAGAAGCATAAATGAGGGTCTGGACCTTTTATAGTTTCTGGCCCCCTGGAAGCTTTGTTTAGAAGCATAAACGAGGGTCTGGACCTTTTATAGTTTCTGGCCCCCTGGAAGCTTTGTTTAGAAGCATAAATGAGGGTCTGGACCGTCTATCGTTTCTGGCCCCCTGGAAGCTTTGTTTAGAAGCATGTGGGTGTGGGGCCACCTGCTGGAAAGTGGATAACGTGAGTTTTTGCCTTTTGTTTTTGCTTCTTTCCTCACATATATTTTTTGAGCTTCTCCCAGAAGTTCACTTAGAGGTTGGTTTTCCCAGTCTTCTAATTTTTGTAACTTTTTTGAAATATCTGGCCAACTTGTAGTGACAAAATGGAGCTTTAACACTCCCTGTCCAAGGAGATCTTCCAAATTTAGGCCTGCATATTGTCTTGTTTGGTCCTTTATTCTTGTCTAGAAATTTCATAGGCCCCCTCATCTTTTTCCTATTGTATATCAAATGCTTTAGAGAGGTTTTGGGTTCAGGGTACTGATTCCCTAATTCCCTTTATTATCATTTCCCTTAGGTCTTGCATATTTTCCCAGTGAGCTGCATTAATATCGTCCCACCGGGGGTCTTGGGTGGGAAACTTTTGATCTGCGGTAGGAATGTTTGACCAGGAGGGTGTTCGTGTTCCCAAATTGCCATAGCAGCCCTACAGATCATGCTTCTTTCCTCCCCTGAAAAGAGGACGCAGGCCGGGCGCGGTGGCTCACGCCTGTAATCCCAGCACTTTGGGAGGCCGAGGCGGGTGGATCATGAGGTCAGGAGATCGAGACCATCCTGGCTAACAAGGTGAAACCCCGTCTCTACTAAAAATACAAAAAAAATTAGCCGGGCGCAGTGGCGGGCGCCTGTAGTCCCAGCTACTCGGGAGGCTGAGGCAGGAGAATGGCGTGAACCCGGGAAGCGGAGCTTGCAGTGAGCCGAGATTGCGCCACTGCAGTCCGCAGTCCCGCCTGGGCGACAGAGCGAGACTCCGTCTCAAAAAAAAAAAAAAAAAAAAAGAAAAGAGGACGCCTAGGATGGACATTAACTCCACCCAAGTGTATAACTGAGGTCCTAAGAATTGATCAACCTGATCTGTTACCCAATAAGGTCATCCAATAACGGCTTAAGTTCCTTCTTCAAACTTCAGACCTCTGAACTGGTTAAGGGAGCATTCACAAAATTAATAGCCCCCCTGTCCTTGTGGCACCTCTTTTAAGGGGAAGAGAGTTGGGGCTGACTCCATAGATGTGGAGGGAAATGGGAAATTTTGGATATCTTTTTTACATTGTTCTACCTCACGTTGGAGTCCTTTTAGGGAGGGGTACTTAGGCTGAGAAGGAACAGGCTAATGGGATGGTGATTCCCAAGAATCAGGATTGTAAGGAGGAGGAATAACATGAGCAGGAGAAGGATCTGGAGCAGGAACGGGGACAGCAGCTGCTACCTGAGGGGAAGGGTTAGGGGCACTGAGCGTGGGGGAAGATGGTTTAGAGGATCCCATGTGCTGGAGTCTTTAGGCATGGGGACTGGCTTTTCTCACTCTTCAGTTTGAGGTGCTAGATTGGGTTTTTCCCTAGTTGTCTTTAAGGGAAAGAGGAGGACAGGTCCCTGCCTCCAACAAAGAGCATAGGCCAATTCTTCTTGAGAAACTGGACTTTTATCATTTACATATTGAATTAGAAGTTGACACATCACATCCTTGTTCAACCCAAACTTTGACCAAAAGATTGAGGGTTTGAGGATGGGTCCCTGAGTCCAAATAAAACAGCAATTGTTTGTCATTTGTTGCTTTTTCTTATGTTTAGTTCTCTCATTATCTTTCCAATATTTTAACATGAGACCTAGGGGACTAACAGCAGGAATATCTTTATTGCTGTCTTTATCCTTTTTACTCCGTGTCCTGCTTGGGGTGTTTCCCATGTTGGGTCCTAGTTAGGCTCAGTCCCTCATATTAGAGATTTCTTGCCTATCCTTTTCTGGAGGCTTGCTGAGGCTCAATCCCTCGTATTAGAGATTTCTTGCCTCTCCTTTTCTGGAGGCTTATTGAGGCTCAATTCCTCATACTAGAGATTTCTATCCTTTAGCCCCACCTGCTGGAGGCTCCTTGCACCCTTCTTTTGCTTCGTCCACTCTGGTCGCTTCCCGGAGGGGAATTTAGGTCCCTCTTACCTTTGGCACGCCCATATAAACCCCATGGCAGGATCTGTCCTAAGCCATATGAGGTGACCATGGAACCTCAGATAGGACACACTCATTCCGCACAGCAGTAGTGCTTAGTACCATTCACACAAGCAGCACCGCAAGCAGTAATGCTTGTGATCATTCATACACACTTTCAATCTCCAGAATATCTTGACCACCAAGGAAATGCTTTGTCACCCCTGTGACGTTTCTTACCTTGGTCTGTGCACAAAGTTACCTGGTCACCATGGTGTTGCAAGCCTTTTTTTCCCCACATTGCTGAGAGTCCGGATTTATTCGTCACACCGGGTGGGTTCCGATCCCTCACCCTGAGGCCACCGCAACGAGGCAGTGGGATGCGTCTCCTTATGAGAGGTGACCAGAGACCCCTTCCCTGGAGGAGAATGGGAATCCTGGATGAGCCCCAGATTTGTTGGAGATAAATGCTCAGTGCTGCAAAGTGAAACCAGCACTGAGGCGAAAGTTTTCTCAGCAAGGCAGTTTACTTCTGCAGAAGGGTGCTGCTTGTGTCAATCACGATTGCAAGAGCACACTGAACAAAGGAAAGCAGGGGTTTTTATTCCTAATGCAATCCCTCCCTCTGTGTCACTCCTTCATGGGCTGTGGTTGGACTGCACAATCTAAACTGACCCGACTGGCTATTTGTGAATACTTTCCCAAATAAGGAAGGGAAGGGAAATGTGAGTTACAGTGGTGGGACGTGCGGTTTCGAAGGGAGGAAGGGGTGAAGAGTGGGTAACCAAGGGAACAGATGTGAGTTATTGATTAGAACTGACAGGAAGGTTGTTTACAGTTACAGTAACTAGGGGCAAGGAGGCATAGAGAACAAGAAAGTTGAGTTTGAGAACAAAGAACAAGGAAGTTAACAGGCTAAACCTTTGAAGAGGAATTTTATTGTATCCTACATACTTGTTCTAGTCTGTTGTTGACACTTTCCAGTGCATTTTTTATTTCTTTAAGTGTGTCTTCCATTTGCAGAAATTGTGATTTTTTTTTCTTTATAATATCTGTTTCTCTGGAGAATTTTTCATCCATAGCCTGTATTTTTTTTGTTGTCTTTTTCTTTCTTTCTTTCTTTCCTTTTTGAGACTCTGAGCACTCTGTTGCTCACAGTGCAGTGGTGCAATCTCAGCTCACTGCAACCTCTGGCTCCTGGGTTCACGCAATCCCCCTGCCTCAGTCTCCCAAATAGCTGGTATTACAGGCACGCACCACCATGCCTGGCTGATTTTTGTATTTTTAGTAGAGATGGGGTTTCACTGTGTTGGCCAGGCTGGTCTGAAACTCCTGACCTCAAGTGATCAGCCCGCCTCAGCCTTCCAAAGTGCTGGGTTTACAGGTGTGAGCCACTGCGCCTGGCCAATCCATAGCCTGTATTGTTTTTTACATTTCTTTGTTTTCACTTTTCTCTGGTCTCTCCTTGAGTAGTTTAATAATCAACCATCTGAATTGTTTATCTGGCAATTCAGAGATTTCTTCTTGATTTGCATTCATTGCTGGGGAGCCAGTATGGTCTTTTGGAGGTGTTATAGAACCTTGTTTTGTCATATTACAATTTTTCTGATTTCTTCTCACTTGGGTAGACTATTTCAGGGGAAAAATCTGGAACTCAGGGGCTACTGTTCAGATTCTTTTGTCCCACAAAGTGACCCCTTGATGTGATGCATTCTCACTTCCCCTAGGGATGGAGCTTCGTGAGAGCCAGACTGTAGTGATTGCTATTGCTCTTCTGGGTCCAGCCACCCAGTGGGGCTACCAGGTTCCAGGCTGGTGCTGAGGAATGTCTGCAAAGAGTCCTGTGATGTGATCCGTCTTTAGCTCTCCTGGCCATGGACACCAGCACCTGCCCTGGTGGAGGTGGGAGGGGAGTAAAGTAGACTGTGAGTGTGAGAGTCCTTGCTTGTAGTTTTGTTTACTGTGCTGGCTTTCTCAAATGCTGGTTATGCTAGCAGTGAAGTTGTCACGTGGACAGACTCAGGAGCTCTGGTTAGCCAGGATGTTGAAAGCAGTGGAATTAGCTGTTTCTCATTTCTTGGAGCAGGGTTATTCTGTTGTGAGTTGCTGTAATGTCCTGACTTGGTTGGCCTCCAGCCAGGAGGTGGCGCTTTCAAGAGAACACCAGCTGCAATACTGGAAGGGGGATATAAGCTTGCCCTAAGTTGGCCAGGATAAGTATTAGGATTTCTCAGGTGATGGACAGGGCCATAAAGCTCCCAAGAGTTTATGGCTTTTGTGATCAGCTACCAGGGCGGGTAGAGAAATACTGTCAGGTTGGGGCAGGGTTAGGTGAGTCTGAGCTCAGACTCTTTCTGGGAATCTGTTACTGATTTGTAATTTTTAATTCCACAGTGTTTGAAGGACATACTTGAAATAAATTTAAAATCCATTGAGATTTGTTTCGTGGTCCAGAATATGGCCTATCTTGGTGAATGTTTCATGTGTATGTGAAACTGAGGCATCCATCCCTCAGTTTCAACCACCCATAGATTTGTAATTATTGTTACATTTACAGAAATTTGCAGGAAGGTAGAAGTTATTGTCTTGAACCATAAAATGTCTGTTTGAAGTCTTTGAGCTCCTCAAGGGTAGGCTGTATGTCCTGTTTACCTTTGATCCTCTCAGCATAATGCTTGGACCAAAATGGAAGCTCAGCAGACACTGGTTGAATGAATGAATAGATGACATTCAATTGTTAGGCTGTGTTCTTGTTTTGGATTTAGAAAATATGCTTATTGTGTTATGCAGTAAGACTGAGTCTTGGCTGGGTGCAGTGGCTTACGCCTGTAATCTCAATACTTTGGGAGGCCGAGGCGGGTGGATCACTTGACGCCAGGAGTTTGAGACCAGCCTGGCCAACATGACAAGACCCTGTCTTTACTAAAAATACAAAAAAATTAGCTGGGCATGGTGATGCACACCTGTAATCCCAGCCACTCGGTAGCCTGAGGCATGAGAATCTCTTGAACCTGAGAGGTGGAGGTTGCAGTGAGCCATGATCATGCCACTGCACTCCAGCCTGGGCAACAGATCAAGACTCAGTCTTAAAGACAAAAAAAAAATACTGAGTCTTACACACTTTTGCATCTTTGTGTCTCTATGGGTCTTCACACAGAGCTTGGCACATTGTAGCTGCTCAGTCAGCACTGTTTGTGCTGAATTGAAACAATGAGATATGTACAAAGGGGCTGTCTCTCACTACTGGGGATTTAAAGCCACCCCGAGGCATTTGACAAGCTGTTCTGGCCAAGGTTGAAGAGGTTGTCCTGTCATAAAGCCCCCCTAAGACACGATGTCACACATAGACACCACTCTCTGTGCGAAAGGGGGGGCCTGTGCACTGAACTCCCAGACTTAGCTGGGCCTCAGTGCTCTTCTTGGGTTTGGTCATAGAGCCCAAGAGGAGGTGGATAAGCTGCCTGACACTGATATGGTAAAAGGATTATCTGCAAATTTCTAGCGTCATCAAGACTGGCCTCTTTGGTAAGCAGGCCTAAAAGGCTGCCCTCAATAAACCACCCAAGCAGGTGAAAATTATCTTTTTACCCCAAGCCTACCTTTTCTACATCCTTTTCTACTTGACATGCCCCTTCTACTCCTCTTCTCTCCTTTAGGACTCATTCTCTCTCCTTTCCTCCTCTAAACCTCCTCCCAGAAAAAGACCTGATAACTTCACTTACACCGGGTTATAGATGACTAACAAAGCTTACTATTGAATATGTTGCTAGTAGAAATCTGAATAAGATACAGCAACTTTTCAACTCTGATCATGGCTTTAAGCACTAGGATGAACCACAGCCATGTAATCATTCATTTGGTTACTTAGCTCTTGCTGTGTCCCACGCATAGGGGCAGCTACTGGGGGTTTGACAGTGGACGGACCTAAAGTGGTCCCTCAGTCAGGGGACAGTACAGTACCCTAAGAGCACTGAGGAGGGCCACCCCACGTGAACTCAGGTAGTCAGGGGAGCCCTCCTGAAAGCCATGGAGAAACACATTCTAGGTAGATAACAGCACATGCAAAGGCCTAGAAGTGAGTGTCTGAGGTGGAAGTTCAGAGTCTTTGTCGTCAGCAGGACATGGAGCAACACTTGACACTGAGATTTAGGCAGAGAGAGACAGAGAGACAAAGAGAGATAGAGAGACAGAAACAGATACAGAGACAGAGTTAGAGATACAGAGAGATAGACAGAGACAGAGACAGAGATAGAGACAGAGCTAGAGATACAGAGAGAGACAGAGATACAGAGAGAGAGACAGATAGAGATACACAGAGAGAGGCAGAGACAGAAATAGAGACTGAGAGAGGCAGAGACAGAAATAGAGACTGAGAGAGGCAGAGACAGAAAGAGAGACAGAGATAGAGACTGAGAGATAGAGAGAGAGAGGAGTGGGAGGCAGGAGGAAAACCAGAGCATGAGAGGTCAAGCAGCCAAGAGAAAAGGCGAGGTCGTTAAAGAAAGGGTCAGCTGGGGCCGGGTGCAGTGGCTCATGCCTGTAATCCCAGCACTTTGGAAGACCGAGGCAGGCGGATCACGAGGTCAGGAGATCAGGACCATCCTGGCTAACATGGGGAAACCCCGCCTCTGCTAGTAAATACAAAAAAATTAGCTGGGCCTCGTGGCGGGCCGCCTGTAGTCTCAGCTACTCGGGAGGCTGAAGCAAGAGAATGGTGTGAACCCGGGAGGCGGAGCTTGCAGTGAGCCGAGATCACGCCACTGCACTCCAGCCTGGGCGACAGAGCGAGACTCCGTCTCAAAAAAAAAAAAAAAAAGAAAAAAAGGAAAGAGTCATCTGGGTTTGGTGACTAGGAGCGTACTGGTGACCTCAGTGAGAGGGGTTTCAGAGGCTTATGGAGACAGATGCAGGTTGAAGTGGGTTGTGGAGCGCGGGAGAGGTAGAAAGCAGTAAACACACCCCCCTGCCAACACCGCTCTCAGGAGACTGGTGTGAAGGGTAGGGGTCAGGACGCTAGCTGGAGAAGGAATATGGGTTCAAGGGAGAAGGGCTTTTTTCTTTTTAATAGAAGAGATCAGCAATGTGTTTAGATGCTGATGGAAGGAGCCAGAAAAAAGGAAAAGGAGAATATTGAGGTGAGACGAGATCTCCAAATGCCCAGGTGAGAAGACCAGATGAAATGGGGCACAGGAGTAGGGCTAGCTTTGGAGAGGGAGGGGAGCCTCCTCCCCTCCTCCCCTGGAAGAGGAAATGGCCTATGAGAAGCCGGTGAGTGAATGGGTTTGGTGGCAGCAAGTTGAGGAAATGCCCATCTGATGGTGCCTATGCTCTCTGCTGAAAGTGAGGAAGACGGGGTGGAGTTAGAGGTTAAAGAGAGAATCTAAGGGCCGGGCACTGTGAGGAGGGCAAGGCAGGATTGGTGGAGCCCAGGAGTTCAAGACCAGCCTGGGCAACATAGACCCTGTCTCTACAAAAAAATTAAAAATTAGCTGGGTGTGGTGAGGTGTGCCTGTGGTCCCAGCTACTCAGGAAGCTGAGGTAGAAGGATCACTTGAGTGCAGGATGTTAAGGCTGCAGTGAGCTGGGATCACGCCACTGCACTCCAGCCTGAGTGACACAGCAAGACTCTGTCTTTAAAAAAAAAAAAAAGTGGCTGGCCTCGGTGGCTCACGCCTATAATCCCAGCACTTTGGGAGGCCGAAGCGGGTGGATCACCTGAGGTCAGGAGTTTGAGACCAGCCTGGCCAACATAGTGAAACCCCGTCTCTACTAAAAATACCTTAAACCCAGGAGGTGGATGTTGCAGTGAGCCGAGATCGTGCCAGTACACTCCAGCCTGGGCGACAGAGACTCCGTCTCAGAAAAAAAAAAATCCTCCATAGTCACCTGTAGTCAGCCCTTCCTCCTACTCCCACACCCTGGCAATCAGTGAACAGTTTCCTGTTCCTGTGGTTTTGACTTTGCAAGATTGTCATATAAATGGAAACGTATGGTAGCCTTTTCAGTCTGGTTTATTTTACTTAGCACAAAGCATTTGAGATTCATCTAGTCACGTGTATCCGTAGTTTGTTCCTTTTATTGAGTGGTGGTCCGTTGTATGGATGTTCCAGAACATTTGGACTATTTCTAGTTTGGGGCATAAAATGACTATTAATAAATATTCACGTACAAGTTTTGTGTGTACATAGATTTTCCTTATACTTGAGTAAAGAGCAAGCAGTGGAATTTTTGGGTCATATGGTAAGTGTAAGTGTAAGTTTAATTTTGTAAGAAACTCAAACTTTTTCAAAGCGGCTGTCTCACCAGCAATAACCGAGAGGTTCCAGTTGTTCTACATCCTCTCCAGCATTTGTTATCTTTGAAAGCCATTCTAAAAGGCATATTTCAATTTTTATTAGATCGGTATTGAAGATTTACATTATTAAACTATGTAAACAGGCCAGGCGTGATAGTTTACACCTATAATCTCTGCACTTTGGGAGGCGAAGGCAGGAGGATCACTTGAGCTCAGAAGTTCCAGGCCAGCCTGGTCAACATAGTGAGACTCTGTACAAAAAATAAATAAATAAATCAGAAAAAAATTAGCTAGGTAAGGCACAGTGGCTCATGACTGTAATCCCAACTACTTGAGAGGTCAACATGGGAGGATCGCTTGAGTCCAGGACTTCGAGACCAGCCTGGACAACATTGGGAGACACTGTCTATTTAAAAAAAAAAATTAGCTGAGTGTGGTGGTGCCCTGTGATCCCAGCTACTAAGGAGGCTGAGGTAAGAGAGTCACTTACTTGAGCACAGGTTGTGGAGGCTGCAATGAAACGTGATCACTGCACTCCAGTCTGGGCAACAGAGCAAGACTCTTTCTCAAAACAAAAAATGTAGACAGTAGTCCCAGTTGAGTCATGATTTTAGTTTTTCTTCTTCTCTTTCTTTAGTTTTTTGTGCATCTATTATATAATTAATTCATCCAAATTTTCTGCCAAAAATAGAAATCTCTTTGCAGTACATTTAGACAGATCAGGTCATTTCTCCATATGATCATTTTCATGGAGACATACCTCAGGAGCCCTCCATCTCCCTGATTCCATCTGGATGGGGCACCCTGGAGGTCTGCTGCCCAGCTGTCCTCCTGAGCTCCCCATTCACCCTTATGCTCAGGGGCTCTCCCTGCCTGTTGTGCTGGGTCCCATGTTATCTTCTTTTCTATTTCTCCTTTATTTTAGTGAAGTACAACCTCCGGTTGCTTCCTGAGGGGTAGTCTTGAGACATTTATGTATCCGAAAAGACCTCAATTCATACTTGCATAGCATTTGGCTAGGTATAGAATTCTAGATTGGAAATATTTTCTCTCAGATTTTGAAGGTCTTCATTATCTTATAGCTTCAAAGGTTGGTGTTGAGAAGTCTGATGAATATTGAATTCCTGAAGCTCAGACTTTTTTCTCTCTGGAAGTTTTTGGGTTCCACTCTGTCCTCAGTGTTGTGAAATTTCTTGACAACAAAATTGGGGCTGGGTCCCCTTCATTCATTGTCATGAACACTTGTTGTTTCCTTCTCTACTGGAAACTCATGTTCTTCCTCTGTGAGAACTTGTCTTGACAAAAAAGAAACGTATTTATTAGACATCTTTCCTTGCCTCCTAGTCTGTTGTCTCTGCTGCCTGTTTCAGAAACATCTAAACAACAATTTAGCTGTTGGAGCTCCTGACCTCTTCTCTGTTCTTTCTGGAAAATATTTTTTTCAAGTTTAGCTTCTATACTTTGATTAGATTTTGCATTCCTATTATTATATTTTTTATTTTTAAGGCAAGGTCTTTCTCTGTTGCCCAGGCTGGAGTGCAGTGGCACGATCACAGTTCACTGCAGCTTTGTTCCTGGACTCAAGTGATCCTCCCACCTCAGCCTCCCAAGCAGCTGGAACTACAGGTGTGTGCCACCACACCCAGCCAGTATTTTAATTTTTTGTAGAGATGGGGTCTCCTTAGGTGGCCCAGGCTGGTGTTGAATTCCTAGGCTCAAACAATCCTCCTGCCTTAGCCTCCCAAAATGCTGGGATTACAGGCATGAGCTAAGGCACCCAGACTATATTTTTGTCAAGAATTAGTGGTGGTGGGTGTTTGAACATTTTTATTTTAGACCCTCCTATTCTTATTTCATGAATGCAAAGTTTTATCTTTCTAAAGATATCAATTATAGATTTTTTTTTTAAGACAGTTTCACTCTTGTTGACCAGGCTGGAGTGCAATGATGCGATCTCGGCTCACTGCAGCCTCTGCCTCCCAGGTTCAAGCAATTCTCCTGCCTCAGCCTCCTGAGTAGCTGGGATTACAGGCACCCACCACCACGCCCAGCTAATTTTTTGTATTTTTAGTAGAGACGGGGTTTCACCATGTTGGCCAGGCTGGTCTCGAACATCTGACCTCAGGTGATCCACCCATCTCGGCCTCCCAAAGTGCTGGGATTACAGGCGTGAGCCACCCTGCCCAGCCCAATTATAGATTTTTTAGGTTTAGGTGTTGACAGTAGCTCTCACCTCAGCCTGTTCTCTCTCCTTGTCATGCAGCCCACAGGGGAGATGGTCAGGCCAGTGTGGGGGCTAATGAATAAATGCTACACTGTGCCCACTCAGGTGGGTAAGGGCTGGCACTCCTCTTCCCCTGGAGTGGGGCGGCTGTGCTGGCACCCTTGGCAGACACAGTAAGGGGGACTGCACCTGGAAAGGATGGGCCAGTCGGGGCAGGACTACTCATCACTCATAGTGTGGGTGTCAGGGTTGTGTCACCCCTCCCACCTCCCTCTGCAGAGACGCAAAGTCAAGAGTAGGAAGAAGCCAACCTCTGAGGTAAGGCTTCCCCTGGAAGGCCCAGGGCTGGGGCTCTCTCCTTTCAGAGCTCAGTTAGACCCAGACACACGGCAGGGAGTCCCAAGGGTAGTGGCAGGCCCCCTCCAGGAAACTCACAAGGTTACCACAGCTCAACTGAAAAGGAAGAACTTCCCAGGACTGTGACACCCCAGTGTGAGAACAGGAGGATGAGGTGCTCTGAAGGCCTTTCTGCCCAGTCTGCCCTCTTATTCCTCCTGCAGGTCACGACCCCCAGGAGACCTGGAGGACTGAATGCTGCTGCCCCCAAGGAGGAGGCTGCCGTCTTATCCCAGGAGGGAGAGCAGGTGAAGTCCCCAGGGGAGGAAGCACCTAGCCCCATTCCTGCTGAGCAGGAGGTGGCAGGTACCCCAGACTGGGAGGTAAGGACAGCCCGGGGCTTCGACTGAACGTCTCCAGCGTGGGTCCAACTGAGCAGCCATGGAGCACTGCAGAGTGGGAGGCAGCAGGGCAGGGAGGCAGTGCTGGAGGCTGGCTCAACCCCAAGACCAGCAGGCCAAGCTGCCATCCCAGGGGAGCGAGGACGTCTGTGCAGAGCTGAGAGGCAGCAGCCATGTGTGAACAGACTGGGCCTCATCCTGGCCCCACCGACTTTGTGTGGACAGAGCCTGTTTCCCTGTCTGTGCAACACAGAACCTGCCTGATCTCACTGCTGGATCCCTCTTCTTCCTGCCAGGAAAATAAAAAGGTTCAAAAGGAAGTTGCTGCGTATCCATCTGGTAAGACCACTGACCCAGCGTGCTGCAGGGGGCTGCTTCCACCCTGCTTCTCAGTGACTGCCAGGGTCACAGACACCCCAGCCCTTTCCCACCTTCCTGACCTGGGGAGGGGAGGGGAGGGAAGCAGCCCAGGAGTCAGGTGCCTTGACCTTCCTGGGAGCCTCCTTGGGTGGGCAGGAACTCTGGGCCACTCCCCTGAGCTGGCTGCATCCCTACCTTTCACCACAGCTGACCTGGCCCCGGGGCATCTCAGAGGGAGGGTTGGTTGCTCCCAGGAGGGGACTCACAAGGCTGCCTGTTTCTACTTTGCAGAGGCCTCTGAGGACAGCAAAGAGCAAAGGCCCTGGGACCGGGTCTACGTGCCCATGACAGAGCTCTGGCTGGACTGGTTCTGAGCCTCTAACACCCCCAAGACTCAGAACCGTGAAGAAAATCTTTCCAATAAATCCAAGAGTTGCTGCTGCTATAGGCCAGGCTGCCACCTTTCGGGGCCTCCGTCTTCAGACAAACCCAGCCTGGCTTCATCCACACTCCCTGTCCCCACAGCTGCAGGAACAGCACTTCCTGCCACCGAGCCGTGTGACCACAGTGGATTGTCTCTGGAGGGGCCCAAGGGGGCCCTGGCCACCCTTCTGACTGACTCGGTGCCAGGGGACAGACCAACGTCCCTCTCGTGCTGACAGCCGGGCCGCACCCTGGCATGAGGGCATTTACAGAAATGCTGGCGGAACTGCTGCCAGGGAGGCTGTAGGGTCCTCTGGCAAAAGAGGCCTCAGGTGGCTCCTCAGAGTGTCTGTGGTTCTCTGTCCCAGGCTGTTCCCTAAGAAGGTCTGCCCAGGACTCAGGTAATCATATGCTCATTAGAAACTCTTGGGCACTGCCTGTGTGCCCAGCCCAGCCCATTATGTCGGTGAGGACAGACGTGGAGGACAGCAGTCCCTGCCCTTGGTTGGGGCTCCAGGCCAGCAAGGGCCACAGCCCCAGAAGGCAGAGCAGGAAGACAGGACTCGGGGCAGGTGAAGCAGCCTTCTCGTTGGCAGAAGGGAAACAGAAGCCCGGGGTGGGGAAGGGTGGGGAAGGGTGGGGAAGGGTGGGCCCGGGGTCACACGGGGTAATGGCAGAGCAAGGACTAGGGTCAGGGTCTCTGGCTCTCAGCTGCCCATGCCACCTCCTCCTTCTCTGCCCGCCCCAGTGCCTTATGGGTCCAAGGTTGACTCCTGTCCCTAGGGCAGGCCTGTGGGCCCTGCCTGATCCCTACTGGGAGGATGGTACCTAGGGTTGGAGCCAAACAAGTGTCCTCCTCCAGCGCCAGCCTGGCCCTGAGTGCGAACTCGTCACTGGTCAGGGGTCCAGACAGCAGCATCCCTGAGGGCCCAGAGAGGTGGCCAGTCCTGTGGTGAGGTTGAGAGGTGTCAACGTGCTGGCGGTCCTCGCTCGCTCTCAGCGCCTCCTCGGCCTCAGCTTCTGCTCTGACCACACTTGAGGAGCCCTTCAGCCCAGCGCTGCACTGTGGGAGCCCCTCTCTGGACTGGTGGAGGCTGGAGCCGGCTCCGTCTGCTTGCGGGGAGGTATGGAGGGAGAGGCGTGTGCGGGAACCTGGGTTGCTCGCGGGCCAGCACCAGTTCTGGGTGGGCAGGGGCTCAGCGGGCCCTGCACTCGGAGCGGCCGGCTGGTGCCTCTGGCCCCAGGCAGTGAGGGGCTTAGCACCTGGGCCAGCAGCTGCAGAGGGGGCACCGGGTCCCCCAGTACTGCTGGCCTGCCGGCGCTCACCACACTTGAATTGTCGCCAGGCCTCAGTCACCTCCCCGCGGGGCAGGGCTCAGGACTTGCAGCCTGCCATGCCCAAGCCTCCCTACGGTGGGCTCCCTGCGAGGCCCGAGCCTCCCGGATGGGTGCCTCCCACTGCTCCACGGCACCTGGTCCCGTCCACTGCCCAAGGGCTGAGGAGTACAGGTGCCCGGTGTGGGACTAGCAGGCAGCTCTGCCTGTGGCCCTGGCATAGGATCCACTAGGCGAAGCTGGCTGGGCTCCTGAGTCAGGTGGGGACTTGGAGAACTTTTATGTCTAGCCAGAGGATTGTATATGCACCAATCAGCACTCTGTGTCTAGCTCCGGGTTCGTGCATGCACCAATTAGCACTCTATCTAGCTAATCTGGTGGGGACTTGGGGAACCTTTATTTCTAGCTAAAAGATTGTAAATACACCAATCAGCACTCTGTGTCTAGCTCAAGGTTTGTAAACACACCAGTCAGCACCCTGTGTCTAACTCAAGGTTTGTAAACGCACCAATCAGTGCTCTCTGTCTACTCTATCTAGCTAATCTAGTGGGGACTGGGACAACCTTTATGTCTAGCTAAGGGATTGTAAATACACCATTCAGCACTCTGTGTCTAGCTCAAGGTTTGTAAATATACCAATCAGTACTCTGTGTCTAGCTCAGGGATTGTAAATGCACCAATCAGCTCTCTGTAAGTGGACCAATCCACTGTCTGTAAAATGGGCCAATCAGCAGGATGTGGGTGGGGGTCAGATAAGGGAATAAAAGCAGGCTGCCTGAAGTAGCAGCGGCAACCTGGTTGCCATCATTCTTTTGCTGTTTGCAGTAAGTCTTGCTGCTGCTGCTCCCTCATTGGGTCCACACTGCCTTTATGAGTTGTAACACTGGAAGGACTGCAGTTTCACTCCTGAGGCCAGTGAGACCACAAACCCACCAGGAAGAATGAACAACTCCGTACGTGCAGCCTTAAGAGCCGTAACACTCACTGTGAAGGTCTGCAGCTTCACTCCTGAAGCCAGCAAGACCACGCACCCACCAGAAGGAAGAAACTCTGAACACGTCTTAACATCAGAAGGAACAAACTCTGAACACACCATCTTTAAGAACTGTAACACTCACCGTGAGGGTCCACGGCTTCATTCTTGAAGTCAGTGAGACCAAGAACCCACCAATTTTGGACACAAGGTGACAGGCTGAGGGCGGTGGCTCGGTCCTGGGTTTTCCTGGGGCCTTCCCAGGGAATGTTCTGGCACCTGCCGACTGAGCCCTGGGAGGTAGCCCTGGCATATAGCTCCCTGACATGATTTGTCTTCCATTTTGGGGTGTCATATATGAAGGGAGGTGACTGTTGTGATGGTGCTGGCAGGACTGCTGTCCCTGATGTGGGGTGGGCTGAGTTAGGCCTGAAATATGGGCCTCCAGGCTGAGTCCTGCCCTCTCCACCACATCCAGGGCTGACTGACACCTCTAGTCAGCCCATTCTGGCCCCTTCCCCACATGCCAGGACAATGTAGTCCTTGTCACCAATCTGGGCAGTCAGAGTTGGGTCAGTGGGGGACATGGGATTATGGGCAAGGGTAACTGACATCTGCTCAGCCTCAACGTACCCGTCTCAAATGCGGCCAGGCGGTGGGGTAAGCAGGAATGAGGCAGGGGTGGGGTTGCCCTGAGGAGGATGATCCCAACGAGGGCGTGAGCAGGGGACCCAAGTTGGAACTACCACATTGCTTTATTGTACATTAGAGCCTCTGGCTAGGGAGCAGGCTGGGGACTAGGTACCCCATTCTAGCGGGGCACAGCACAAAGCTCGTAGGGGGATGGGGTCACCAGAAAGCTGACGACACGAGAGTGGCTGGGCCGGGGCTGTCCGGCGGCCACGGAGAAGCTGAAGTGCTGCAGCAGGGAGGTGAAGAAGAGGAAGAGCTCCATGCGGGCCAGGGGCTCCCCGAGGCATGCACGGCGGCCTGTGGGGAGGGGAGGGGCGTCAGTGAGCCTGGCTCCTGGGTGATACCCCTGCAAGACTCCACGGAAGGGGACAGGGAGCCGGGCTCCCCACAGGCACCTGCTGAGAAAGGCAGGAAGGCCTCCGGCTTCACAAAGTGGCCCTGGGCATCCAGGAAGTGTTCGGGGTGGAAGCGGAAGGGCTTCTTCCAGACGGCCTCATCCTTCAGCACCGATGACAGGTTGGTGATGAGTGTCGTTCCCTGGGCAGGAGATGCAGGGTGAGAGTGGGGACTGGACTCTAGGATGCTGGGACCCCTGCCACCAAACACACGGGGGACACACACTGCCTGGCACACAGCTGGACTCTGTCAACTAGTCCTGCGCCCGAGAAGCTCCACAGTACCCTCTCCGACCCCACAGCAGGGCGCAGTCACACCTCTCAGAGGCACCCACACTGCCCCCTCTCCCTGCAGGCGCTGGGTCCTCCAACATTCTGGCAGGTCCTGATTTGTCTTCCCCACTAGACGGGGGCTCTGGATGGACAGGCCAGCCCTGCCTATACTCTGGACCCCCCATCCAAGCGGGGACAGTCAGTGTGGTGGCATTGAGGACTAGGTGGCCAGGGTTCCTAGAGTGGGCCCACCTGGCAGTAGCCATGCTGGGGCTATCACCAGGGGCTGGTGCTGAGCTGGGGTGAGGAGGGCGCCAGGCCTACCTTAGGGATGCGGAAGCCCTGTACTTCGATGTCATGGGATGTCATATGGGTCACACTCAGGGGGATGATGTCCCCAAAGCGCTGCACCTCGTGAATCACGGCAGTGGTGTAGGGCATGTGAGCCTGGTCACCCATCTCTGGTCGCCGCACCTGCCCTATCACGTCGTCGATCTCCTGTTGGACACGGACTGGACAGACATGCGTCCCCACAATGGGTCAGCACCCAGGGGACACTCTCCTTCCTCCTGTGTTGGAGGAAGTTAGGCTTACAGGAGCCTGGCCACGCCTGTGCTGGAAGCCCCGGGTGTCCCAGCTAAGCCCAGGGGCCCCCAGCTGTACCCTTCCTCCCTCAGTCCCTGCCTTGGGCCCCAGCTGGGCTCACGCTGCACATCCAGGTGTAGGATCATGAGCAGGAGGCCCCAGGCCAGCGTGGTCAAGGTGGTCACCATCCCGGCAAGGAACAGGTTACCCACCACTATGCGCAGGTTCTCATCATTGAAGCTGCTCTCAGGGCTCCCCTTGGCCTGAGCAGGGCCGAGAGGATACTCAGGGGATAGAACGGGGTAGCCCCCAAATGACCTCCAATTCTGCACCTGTCAGCCCAGATGCGGCTCGCCGGGTGATGCACTGGTCCAACCTTTTGCCCAGCCTCCCCTCATTCCTCCTGGGACGTTCAACCCACCACCCTTGCCCCCCACCGTGGCAGCCACTCTCACCTTCTCCTTCTTTGCCAGGAAGGCCTCAGTCAGGTCTCGGGGTGGCTGGGCTGGGTCCCAGGTCATCCTGTGCTCAGTTAGCAGCTCATCCAGCTGGGTCAGGAAAGCCTTTTGGAAGCGTAGGACCTTGCCAGCCAGCGCTGGGATGTGCAGGAGGACGGGGACAGCATTCAGCACCTACACCAGACAGAACGGGGTCTCAATCCCTCCTGTGCTCTGCGTTCATCTGGACCAGTCTCAGGCCCCAGCCATCTCCAGGAAGACCCAGGGCCTGCCTGTCCTTACCACTGACCTCACCAAGTCCCTCCCCAAGTGCCAGCCTCCACCCTCTCTCTCCTTGCCCAGAGGAGAGACCTAAAATCGAAATCTCCAACGTGGACGGGGGTACAGAGTCCTTGGCCTCTCCTGGTGCCCCCTGACCCGGGCACACCTCTCCCACGACCATGTCTGAGATGTCCCCTCCTCCTCCAGGCCCTTCTTACAGTGGGGTCTCCTGGAATGTCCTTTCCCAAACCCATCTACGCAAATCCTGCCCTTCGGAGGCCCCAGTCCAGCCCCGGCACCTCTCAGGAGCTCGCCCTGCAAAGACCCTTGCTCCGCACCTCGCGCAGGAAGCCCGACTCCTCCTTCGATCCCTCCCTGAGCTAGGTCCAGCAGCCTGAGGAAGCGAGGGTCGTCGTACTCGAAGCGGCGCCCGCAGGTGAGGGAGGCGATCACGTTGCTCACGGCTTTGTCCAAGAGACCGTTGGGGCGAAAGGGGCGTCCTGGGGGTGGGAGATGCGGGTAAGGGGTCGCCTTCTCCGTCCCCCGCCTTCCCAGTTCCCGCTGTGTGCCCTTCTGCCCATCACCCACCGGCTTGGTCGGCGAAGGCGGCACAAAGGCAGGCGGCCTCCTCGGTCACCCACTGCTCCAGCGACTTCTTGCCCAGGCCCAAGTTGCGCAAGGTGGACACGGAGAAGCGCCTCTGCTCGCGCCACGCGGGCCCATAGCGCGACAGGATCACCCCTGGGGGCGGGACGGACACGTGGGCGTTGCCATGAAGGCCTTGGCCCCACCCTCCGCCACCCACTCCAACCCTGGCGCTCCACAAGGTCTCCCGCAGTCCCTAGCCCGGTCCAGCTGGGCACAGGGCCCACTCTTTGCTCACCCACATTGCTCCCCTGCCTGGGGCGGGGTTTGGCCCCACCTCGTCTCTGCCCACCCTGACCACCTTTCCACTCAAGGAAGATCCCGCCCGTCCCGCCCACACTGAGCCCGCAGCATAGGCGCGGTCCCCGCCACCGCCACTTCGACGCATCAGCCTCGCCCACCGGGCTTCTGGCGGGTCTGGGCAGTAGCCCCGCCCCCTCCCAGCCCACAGACTCGCACCTCCCCCGTGCAGGTGGTTTCCTGGCCCACTGTCCTCAGCCCACTCGCTGGCCTTTATCTCTGTTTCACGTCCAGGACCCCACGCCCTGTCGGCGCTGCTTGGGCTACGGTCACTGTCCACCCGGGGCCCACGGAAACGCGGTCTCTGTCCCCCACCGCCGCTTGCCTTGGGAACGCGGCCCGAAGCCCAGGACCTGGTAGATGGGCGCAGGCGGGCGGTCGGCCGTGTCCTCGCCGCGGGTCACCATCGCCTCGCGCACGGCCGCCAGCCCATTGAGCACGACCACCGGCGTCCAGGCCAGCTGCAGGCTGAACACGTCCCCGAAGCGGCGCCGCAACTGCAGAGGGAGGGTCAGGGCCTCTTGTCAAGCCAGGATCCCCCCAGACTACAGGTCCTAGTCCTATTTGAACCTTGGACGACCCCCGGGGCTACCAGGAGTGAGCAGGTGGAAGGAGGAGACCCAGCCTCCTGATCCTGGGGCGGGGGTGGGGGTCACACCTTCTGTGATGGAGGAACTCAGTTTGGATGCGTCACCCAGGTATGACCTTGCAAGAGTCACCAAAATTGCCGAGAGGCCCCAGTTAGCATCCCATTCCCAGATGATGGTCCATGCCGGTGAGCAGTGAGGCCCGAGGACCCACAGTGCAAAAGGTTTGAACCGGGTCACTGCACCCCCTTCATCCTCGATTTCGTGATTTAAACGGCACTCAGGACTAACTCATCTTCCATTCCCAAGGCCTTTCCTTCTGGTGTCAGCAGAAGGGACTTTGTACTCCATAACATATGTTGCCCAATGGGCTTGCATGCCCACTGCCAAGTCCAGCTCCACCTCCAGGCCCTTGCCCTACTCTTCCTTGGCCTTTGGAAAATCCAGTCCTTCATGCCATGTATAAATGTCCTTCCCCAGGACGTCCCCCAAACCTGCTTCCCCTTCTCAGCCTGGCTTCTGATCCAGCCTGTGGTTTCACCCACCACCCATGTTTGCTGGTGGTGGGGCATCCTCAGGACCTCTGCCGCCCTCCAGGACCTCCTCCCTCACCTGGTCGAAGCAGTATGGTGTGTTCTGGAAGTCCACATGCAGCAAGGTTGCCCAGCCCGGGCAGTGGCAGGGGACCTGGCGGGTAGCGTGCAGCCCAGCGTTGGTGCCGGTGCATCAGGTCCACCAGGAGCAGGAAGATGGCCACTATCATGGCCAGGGGCACCAGTGCTTCTAGCCCCATGGCTGCCTCACTACCAACTGGGCTCCTCTGGACACACCTGGCACCCCCACCCCACCAGGCACAGAGGACCAGGCAGGACACTCTCAGCACACCGAGCGCGTGACCCTTCCCTTATAAAGGGAGCTGATGATGGCCTTCGCCCTCTGCTGTGAGTGAACCTGCTGTGTTGACTGTGCTGCCAGTGGCAGAGTCAGGCCAGGGCAGGTATGGGCTGCTCCAGAGGTCCTTGCCGCTGCTTCCTGCTCCAGGCCCTTACCCAGGGTAGGGTGGTAGAAAGGCCTGGTCGGAGAAGTCACCCCCTCTCCCCACTCCAAGCTCCCCAAGCCCACACAGGCTTCTGGGATAACCAGGGTCTCAGTGGACCCGGCCATCCACCTCCCAGCTAGGCTCATACACCCTAATGTAGTCACAACCCCTCCTCCAGAACATGACCTTGCCCTTTCCCTACCCCCACCTGCCCACTCCAGAGTGACCTTCAGCACCCTTATCTGTCACTGGCACTTACCTGGGGCCTTAGAGCTCCTGATGATGAGTGGCATCATGGGCCTGGTCCCTTCACTTCACCTTGCACTCTTGACATGCACAGACGCTATGCACACACCTGATGGTGCACAGATCTCTTGTCCACTCCCAGACACTTGTCCACTTGTTCACACTTGCAGGGACACGATTACACATGCAGAAAATCACCCACACAAAGACAATATTCACACATACACAGACTCACACTGACACTCAGGGCACACATTCTCTCTCACACACACCAGTCACACACACATACAGACCCGGCACCAAGTACCCCACTTCCCAGCCATGCCCGAGGTTTCCTGGATGGGACCTCTCCTGTCCAGAGGCTGCTCCCGGTGAGCCTCAAAGCTGTCACGTGGATCCCAGCTCAGCCCACATTCTGGGCTCTGGCCGGGCCATGACTTCCTGTTTGCAACAGGGCTGTTCCCAGAGCTCCCAGTTGGTAGCCTGAAGGCCCTTGCCCCAGCCTGTGACAGCATCCTCCAGGGCTGCCTGAGGGTCGTCATTCTCCACTGCTTCCTGGCCTCCATGTTTCTGATTAGAAATCTGGTGGAAACATTATGGAGGATCCTTTATTTAGGATATGTTGCTTTTTTATTTTTATTTTTTCTTTAGACAGGGTCTCACTCTGTTGCCCGGGCCGGAGTGCAGTGGCAGGATCATGGCTCACTGCAATCTCAACATCAAGTGGACCTCCTGCCTCCCAAGTAGCTGGGACTACAGGCACCACCGAGCCCAAATAATTTTTTTTTTGAGACGGAGTTTTGCTCTGTCGCCCAGGTGGGAGTGCAATGATGCGATCTCGGCTCACTGCAACCTCCACCTCCAGGGTTCAAGCGATTCTCCTGCCTCAGCCTCCCAAGTAGCTGGGATTACAGGTGCCCACCACCATGCCTGGCTGATTTTTTGTACAAGAAGTTTATAGAACACCAAGCAGATTTAACCCAAAGAAGACGACCTCAAGGCATCTGATAATTAAACTCCGAAAGGTCAAGGATAAAGAAAGGATCCTAAAAGCAGCAAGAGAAAAGAAACAAATAACATGCAGTAGAGCTCCAATACATGACATGGGGCAGCCACCTTTCCAGTGGAAACCTTACAGGCCAGGGGGGAGTGGCATGACATATTTAAAGTGCTGAAGGAAAAAAAACTTTTAGCCTAGAATAACGTATCTGGCAAAAATATCCTTCCAACAGGAAGGAGAAATAAAGACCTTCCCAGACAAACAAAAGCTGCGAGATTTCATCAACACCAGACCTATATCCCACAAGAAATGCTAAAGGGAGTTTTTCAATCTGAAAAAAAAAAGGATATTAATGAGCAAGAAGAAATCATCTAAAGGTACAAAACTCACTGGTAATAGTAAGCACACAGAAAAACAGAGTATTATAATACTGTAATTGTGGTGTGTAAACTACTCTTATTTTAATTAGACTAAATGATGAACCAATCAAAAATAATAAGTACTTTTCAAGACAGACAGTACAGTAAGACATAAAGAGGCCGGACCCGGTGGCTCACGCAGGTAATCCCAGCACTTTGTAAGGCTGAGGTGGGTGGATCACCTGAGGGCAGGAGTTCGAGACAAGCCTGGCCAACATGGTGAAACCCCATCTCTACTAAAAATACAAAAAATTTAGCTGGGCATGGTGGTGGGCGCCTGCTACCCAGGAGGCTGAGGCAGGAGAATCGGTTGAACCTGGGAAGTGGAGGTTACAGTGAGCTGAGATCGTGCCACTGCACTCTAGCCTGGGCAACAGAGCAAGACTTTATCTCAAAAACAAAAAAAGAGAAACAACAAAAAGTTAAAAAGCACTAAGATGAACTTAAAGTGTAGAGTTTTTATTAGTCTTCCTTTTGCTTTATGTTTGTTTACGCAATCAGTGTTGTCATCCGTTTAAAATAATGAGTTATAAGATAATATTTGCAAGCCTCACGGCAACCTCAAATCAAAAAGCACACAATAAGTGAGACTGTGTCTCAAAAAGAAAAGAAGAAAAAACACACAATGGATACACACACAAAAAAAAGCAAGAAATTAAATCATACCACCAGAGAAAATCACCTTCATTAAAAGGAAGACAAGGAAAAAAAAAAAAAAAGAGAAGACCACAAAACAGTGAGAAAAGAAATAACAAAATAGCAGGAGTAAGTCCCTGCTTAGCAATAATAACATTGAATGTAAATGGACTAAACTCTCCAATACAAAGACACAGAGTGGCTGAATGGATGAAAAAGCAAAGCTCAATGCTCTTTTGTCTAGAAGAAACACACTTCACCTGTAAAGATACACATAGACTGAAAATAAAGGGATGGAAAAAGATACTCCATGCCAATGGAAAACAAAAAAGAGCAGGAGTAGCAATACTTAGACAGAACAGATTTTAAAACAAAAACTGTAAGAGGAGGCCGGGTGTGGTGGCTCACGCCTGTAATCCCAGCACTTTGGGAGGCCAAGACGGGCGGATCACGAGGTCAGGAGATTGAGACTATCCTGGCTAACATGGTGAAACCCCGTCTCTACTAAAAATACAAAAAATTAGCCAGGCGTGGTGGCGGGCGCCTGTAGTCCCAGCTACTCAGGAGGCTGAGGCAGGAGAATGGCGTCAACCTGGGAGGCGAAGCTTGCAGTGAGCCAAGATCGCGCCACTGCACTCCAGCCTGGGTGACAGAGCGAGACTCCGTCTCCAAAACAAAACAAACAAACAACAACAACCAAAAAAACTGTAAGAGGAGACAAAGAAGGTCATCCAGCAACAGAATATAACAATTGTAAATACATATGCACACAACACTGGAGCACGTAAAGCAAATGTTATTGGAGCCCAAGAGAGACGTTAACGCAATAACAGCTAAAGACGTCAACACCCCACATTCAGCATTGGACGGGTGTCCCAGATGGAAACCCAATAAGAAAACATTAGACTTAATCTGCACTACAAAAGAAATGGACCTACTAGATACTTACAGAACACTTCGTCTAAAGTCTGCAGAATACACATTCTTCTCCTCAGCACATGGATCATTCTCAAGGATACACCATATGTTAGGTCACAAAGCAAGTCTTAAAACATTACAAATGTTAAAATAATATCAAGCATCTTCTCTGACCACAACAGAATAAAAGTGGAAATCAACAACAAGAGGAATTCTGGAAACTATACATACACGTGAAAATTAAACAATATGGTCCGGAATGGCCAGTGGTTCAATGAAGAAATTAGGAAGGAAATTTGGCTGGGCACAGTAGCTTACACCTGTAATCCCAGCACTCTGGGGGGCTGAGGCAGTCAGATGACCTGAGATAGGGAGTTCGAAAGCAGCCTGGCCAACATGGTGAAACTCCGTCTCTACAAAAAATACAAAAATTAGCAAAGCATGGTGGCATGTGCCTGCAGTCCCAGCTACTAGGGAGGCTGAGATGGGAGGATTGCTTGAACCCAGGAAGTCAAGGCTGCAGTGAGCCCTGATGGCATCACTGCACTCCAGCCTCGGTGACAGAGCAAGACCCTGTCTCAAGAAAACACACACACACACACACACACACACACACACAGATGCTCAAACTAATATCATTTTGCTGTTAGAGCCAAGAGGGGTGGCCTGTGTAGTAAAAAGTGGGGAAGTCATTCCTTGCACAATGCAAGCCACTGGACCAAGAGTCCAAACTGACTCTTGACAGGAGGCTGGGAGATATCTGCTAAGGCCTTGGAATGTCCTGCCTGAAATAGTGTCTTTGTACATAGCTAGGGCCTTGGACCGTACAACACAGTTTATGCCAACAATGTGATCGAGGGTGGGGCCGTCAGGCCTGTATCCATCTGACTTCAGGAGGGGCTGGAGACTGAGTAACTGAGGTCAGCCATGCTGCGGGGGCTCAAGCCTAGGATGACCAACTCCCAACAAAAACCATGGACACCAAGGCCCAGGTGAGCTTCCGTGGCTGGCAGGGCTCTCTGCTGCCTCACTTACTGTTGGGGGAGAATTAAGCACTGCCTGTAGGAGTCCACCAGAAAAGAGAGCTGCAGCCTTGGCCTGGTCATTCTGGACTCTGGTCCCTGTGCCTTTCATCTTTGCTGACTTTAATCTGTACCCTTCTCTGTAATAAACTGTTAACAGGGAGAATAACAGCTTTTCTAGGGCTGTGAGACCTTCTAGAAATCACTGAACCTGAGGGTGGTCTGGGGGAGCACAACACAGTCTCCCACCCTAGCCAGGGAATGGGTTGATTCTTGGCATATGCCTATTCATATCCACCCCAGCCAAGACTTACGCATGGACTTTGTCACCAAGCCAGGCAGCCAGTGATGGGTCTCTGGGCGTGACGTGGGGGCAGGCTGTTTCCTGCTGAGAATCACTATGCCTGTATCTCAAGTAAAGTCAGGCGTCCAGGTAAGAGTGAATGAGGTGAGGCTGGTCTCGGTGGCTCACGCCTGTAATCCCAGCACTTTGGGAGGCTGAGGCTGGTGGTCACGTGAAGTCAGGAGTTTGAAACCAGACTGGCCAACATGGCGAAACCCATCACTACTAAAAAGACAAAAATGAGCCGGGGGTGGTACCCGGTGCCTGTAATCCCAGCTACTCAGGAAGCTGAGGCACGAGAATCGCTTGAACTCTGGAGGCGGAGGTTGCAGTGAGCTGAGATTGCACCACTGCACTCCAGCCTGGGTGACAGAGTAGGCTCCATCTCAAAAAAAAAAAAAAAAAAATGAATGAATGAGGTGAGGGGTGAGGGGTGAGGGGTGAGCACTGACATCAGGCAGGTGACTGACGACCCAACACAACCAGGACCTTGGCAGGGGCCCAGACTGGATACAGAAACCAAGTGGGAGCCACTAGACTAATTTATTGTACAACAGGGTCCCAGCTGAGGAGCAACTCTAGCGGGGCACAGCACAAAGCTCATAGGGGGATGGCGTCACCAGAAAGCCGACGACACGAGAGTGGCTGGGCCGGGGCTGTCCGGTGGGCACCGAGAAGCTGAAGTGCTGCAGCAGGGAGGTGAAGAAGAGGAAGAGCTCTATGCGGGCCAGGGGCTCCCCGAGGCATGCACGGCGGCCTGTGGGGAGGGGAGGGGCGTCAGTGAGCCTGGCTCCCGGGTGATACCCCTGCAAGACTCCACGGAAGGGGACAGGGAGCCGGGCTCCCCACAGGCACCTGCTGAGAAAGGCAGGAAGGCCTCCAGCTTCACAAAGTGGCCCTGGGCATCCAGGAAGTGTTCGGGGTGGAAGCGGAAGGGCTTCTCCCAGACGGCCTCATCCTTCAGCACCGATGACAGGTTGGTGAAGAGCATCATCCCCTGGGCAGAAGATGCAGGGTGAGAGTGGGGACTGGACTCTAGGATGCTGGGACCCCCAAGCACACAGGGGACACACACTGCCTGGCACACAGCTGGACTCTGTCAACTAGTCCTGTGCCCGAGAAGCTCCAGAGCACCCTCTCCGACCCCACGGCAGGGCGCAGTCACACCTCCTGGGAGCGCCCACGCTACCCCCTCTCCCTACAGGTATTGGGGTCCTCCAACATTCTGGCAGGTCCTGGTCTGCCTTCCCCACTAGACTGGGGCTCTGGATGGACAGGCCAGCCCTGCCTATACTCTGCACCCCACACCCAGGCTGGGACAGTCGATGTGGTGGCATTGAGGACTGGGTGGCCAGGGTTCCTAGACTGGGCCCACCTGGCAGTGGCCATGCTGGGGCTATCACCAGGGGCTGGTGCTGAGCTGGGGTGAGGAGGGTGCCAGGCCTACCTTAGGGATGCGGAAGCCCTGTACTTCGATGTCACGGGATGTCATATGGGTCACACCCAGGGGGACGATGTCCCCAAAGCGCTGCACCTCGTGAATCACGGCAGTGGTGCAGGGCATGCGAGCCTGGTCACCCATCTCTGGTCACCACACCTGCCCTATCACGTTGTCGATCTGTTGGACACGGCCTGGACAGACACGCGTCCCCACAATGGGTCAGCACCCAGGGGACCAGCCCTGACACTCTCCTGCCTCCTGTGTTGGAGGAGGTTAGGCTTACAGGAACCTGGCCAAGCCTGTGCTTGGAGTCCCGGGTGTCCCAGCTAAGCTCAGGGGCCCCCACCTGTACCCTTCCTCCCTTGCCCCCTGCACTGGGCCCCAGCTGGGCTCACGCTGCACATCCGGGCGTAGGATCATGAGCAGGAGGCCCCAGGCCAGCGTGATCGAGGTGGTCACCATCCCGGCAAAGAACAGGTCAGCCACCACCATGCGCAGGTTCTCATCATTGAAGCTGCTCTCAGGGTTCCCCTTGGCCTGAGCAGGGCTGAGAGGGTACTCAGGGGACAGAACGGGAAAGCCCCCAAATGACCTCCACATTCTGCACCTGTCAGCCCAGGTGCCACTTGCCAAGTGATCCAATGGACCCACCTTTTGCCTGCCTCATTCCTCCCGGACGCTCAACCCACCACCCCTGGTCCCTACCGTGTCAGCCACTCTCACCTTCTCCTTCTCTGCCAGGAAGGCCTCAGTCAGGTCTCGGGGTGGCTAGGCTGGGTCCCAGATCATTCTGTGCTCGGTCAGCAGCTCATCCAGCTGGGTCAGGAAAGCCTTTTGGGAGCGTAGGACCTTGCCAGCCAGCCCTGGGATGCGCAGGAGGAGGGGGACAACATTCAGCATCTACAGCTGACACAGAACGGGGTCTCAATCCCTCCTGTGCTCTGCGTTCACCTGGACCAGTCTCAGGCCCCAGCTGCCTCCAGGGAAGACCCAGGGCCTGCCTGTCCCCACCACTCACCTCCCCAAGTCCCTCCCCAAGTGCCAGCCTCCACCCTCTCTCCTTGCCCTGGGCTGCCAGAGGAGAAACCTAAAAATCAAAATCTCCAATGTGGACAGGAGGCACAGGGTCCTTGGCCTTTCTTGGTGCCCCCTGACCCGGGCACACCTCTCCCACGACCGTATCTGAGATGTCTCCTCCTCCTCAAGGCCCTTCCTCTAGCAGTGAGCTCTTCTGGAATGTCCTTTCCCAAACCACTCTATGCAAACCCTGCTCCTTGGAGGTCCGGCTGCAGTCCCGGCACCTCTCAGGAGCTCGCCCTGCAGAGACCCTGCGGTCCCTCGCTCCACATCTCTCACAGAAAGCCCAGCTCCTCCTTCAATCCCTTCTGAGCTAGGTCCAGTAGCCTGAGGAAGCGAGGGTCGTCGTACTCGAAGCGGCACCCGCAGGTGAGGGAGGCGATCACGTTGCTCGCCGCTTTGTTCAGGAGGCCGTTGGGGTGAAAGGGGCGTCCTGGGGGCGGGAGATGCGGGTCAGGGGTCGCCTTCCCAGTCCTCCACCTTCCCAGTTCCCGCTTTGTGCCCCTCTGCCCATCACCCACTGGCTTGGTCGGCGAAGGCGGCACAGAGGCAGGCGGCCTCCTCGGTCACCCACCGCTCCAGGGACTTCTTGCCCAGGCCCAAGTTGCGCAAGGTGGACACGGAGAAGCGCCTCTGCTCGCGCCACGCGTGTCCGTAGTGTGCCAGAAACACCCCTGGGGGCGGGACGGACACATGGGCGTGGTCATGGAGGCCTTGGCCCCGCCCTCCGCCGCCCACTCCAACCCTGTGCTTTTCCTGGTCTCCCGCAGTCCCTGGCCCTGTCCAGCTGGGCACAGGGCCTGCTCTTTGCTCACTCACCTTGCTTGGGTCTTGGCCCCACCTTGGCTCTTCCGACCCTGACTGCCTTTCCACTCAGGGAAGATCCCGCCCGTCCCGCCCCGCCCATACTGAGCCCACAGCAGAGTCCATCCCGGCTTCTAGACACCCGCTTCCAGCTGGGAAAGGCGCCAGCTCCGCCCACCCGGTTCCTGGTGGGTCTCGGCAGTTGCCCCGCCCACTCACAAGCCCCTCTTCCTCCCGCCCACAGACTCGCACCTCCCCAGTGGAAGTGGTTTCCTGGCTCGCTGTCCCCAACCCACTCACTGGCCTTTCTATGTGTCCCAAGTCCACAACCCCACGCCCTCTCAGCCCAGCTTGGGCTACGGTCACCGCCCACCCAGGACCCACGGAAACGCAGTCTCTGTCCCCCACCGCCGCTTGCCTTGGGAGCGCGGCCCGATGCCCAGGACCTGGTAGATGGGCGCAGGCGGGCGGTCGGCGGTGTCCTCGCCGCAGGTCACCAGAGCCTCACGCACGGCCGCCAGCCCATTGAGCACGACCACCGGCATCCAGGCCAGCTGCAGGCTGAACACGTCCCCAAAGCGGTGCCGCAGCTGTAGAGGGAGGGTCAGGGCCTCCGTTGGGTCAGGGCCTCCATCAGGCCAGGGTCCCCCCAGACTGCAGGTCCTAGTCCTATTTGAACCTTAGACGACCCTCGGGGCTACCAGGAGTGAGCAGGTGGAAGGAGGAGACCCAGCCTCCCGATCCTGGGGCGGGGATGGGGTCACACCTTCTGTGATGGAGGAACTCAGTTTGGATGCGTCACCCAGGTATGACCTTGCAAGAGTCACCAAAATTGCCGAGAGGCCCCAGTTAGCATCCCATTCCCAGATGATGGTCCATGCCGGTGAGCAGTGAGGCCCGAGGACCCACAGTGCAAAAGGTTTGAACCGGGTCCACTATATCCCTTCATCCTTGATTTCTAACTTACTCATTTATTTAGACCATGTCTGGCTCTGTCACCCAGGCTGGAGCGCAATGGCGCGATCTTGGCTCACTGCAACCTCCACCTCCCGGGTTCAAGCAATTCACCTGCCTCAGCCTCCCATGTAGCTGGGATTACAGGTGCCCACCACCGTGCCCCGCTAATTTTTGTATTTTTAGTAGAGGCAGGGTTTCACCATGTTGGCCAGGCTGGTCTCGAACTCCTGACCTTGTGATCCCCCCACCTTGGTCTCCCAAGATGCTGGGATTACAGGTGTGAGCCACCGCGCCCAGCCGTTGATTTTTTTTTTTTTTTTTTTTTTTTTTTTGAGACAGAGTCTCGCTCTGTCGCCCAGACTGGAGTGTAATGGTGTGTTCTCAGCTCACTTCAAGCTCTGCCTCATGGGTTCATGCCATTCTCCTGCCTCAGCCTCCCAAGTAGCTGGGACTACAGGTGCCCACCACCTCGCCTGGCTAATTGGTTTGTATCTTTAGTAGAGACGGGTTTCATTGTGTTAGCCAGGATGGTCTCGATCTCCTAACCTCATGATCCGCCCGCCTTAGCCTCCCAAAGGGCCGGGATTACAGGCGTGAGCCACCGCGCCCGGCCTGATTTCTTATTCGTTTATTTAGACATTGTCTGGCTGTGTCACCGAGGTTGCAAGGCAATGGCACAATCTCCACTCACTACAACCTCTGCCTCCTAAGTTCAAGCAATTCTCCTGCCTCAGCCTCCCAAGTAGCTGGGATTGCAGGCGTGCACCACTGTGCCCAGCTCATTTTTTGTATGTTTAGTAGAGACCGGTTTTTGCCATGTTGGCCAGACTCATCTGGAACCCCTGACCTCAGGTGATCCGCCCACCTTGGCTTCCTTAAGTGCTGGGATTATAGGCGTGAGCCACCACGCACAGCCTGATTTCCTGATTTAAACGGCACACAGGACCCTGACTCGTCTTCCATTCCCAAGGCCTTTCCTTCTGGTGTCAGCAGAGGGGACTTTGTGCTCCTAACATATGCTGCCCAATGGGCTTGCACGCCCACTGCCAAGTCCAGCTCCACCTCCAGGCCCTTGCCCTACTCTTCCTTGGCCTTTGGAAAATCCCATCTTTCATGCCATGCATAAATGCCCTCCCCCAGGAAGTCCCTCAAATCTGCTTCCCCTTCTCAGCCTGGCTTCTTGTCCAGACTGTGGCTCCACCCACCACCCATGTTTGCTGGTGGTGGGGGATCCTCAGGACCTCCTCCCTCACCTGGTTGAAGGTGTATATGTTCTGGAAGTCCACATGCAGCAAGTTGCCCAGCCCGGGCAGTGGCAGGGGGCCTGGCGGGTAGCGTGCAGTCCAGCGTTGGTGCTGCTGCATCAGGTCCACCAGGAGCAGGAAGATGGCCACTGTCACTGCCAGGGGCACCAGTGCATCCAGCCCCATGGCTGCCTCACTGCCCATTGGGCTCCTCTGGACACACCTGGCACCTCCACCCCACCAGGCACAGAGGACCAGGCAGGACACTCTCAGCACACCCAGTGCATGACCGTTCCCTTATAAAGGGAGCTGATGATGGCCTTTGCCTTCTGCTGTGAGCCAACCTGCTGTGTTGACTGTGCTGCCAGTGGGTGCAGGGTCAGGCCAGGGCGGGTATGGGCTGCTGCAGAGGTCCTTGCCCCTGCTCGCTCTAGTTGCCTACCCAGATTAGGGTGGTGGGCGAGAGGTGGCCTGGCATGGGAGCTCCACCCAAGTTGGAGGTATGGATTGTACTGGGTGCTGGGCTGTGTACTGGGAGCATGGTGGTAAGGCTGTGAGTCAATGCCCCAACGTAATGATGACCACGGGGAGTAGGAAGGTAACATAGCTGACATGACAAGCCAGCAGTGCCATGAGGGTCCATGGGGACGTTGTCCCAGGCTGGAACAGGACTTTCTGGGAAGGATTCATGGAGAACTTTGTCTAGCTGACTGAGGGGCTGCCTAGCACTGTAGGCCACGGCACTGGCAGTGGGACCAACCCACCCCTGGAATTTCCTGTGCAGGTGGCCTGAGGGGCAGCAGGAGGCCAGCAGCTGGAGCCTGGGTCTTTTCAGGTCTGGATGAAGACTGGATCTGGGGAACAAAAGGCAGGGAGAACAGTTTATTTAAAATTTAAAAATATATATATATTTTTTAGAGACAAGATCTTGCTCTGTTGCCCAGGCTGGAGTGCAGAGCTGTGATCATAGCTCACTCAAACTCCTGTGCTCAATCAAGAGATCCTATTTTAGCGTCCCGAGTAGCTGGAACTACAGGTGCACATCATTACGCTCGGCTAATTTTTTTGTTGAGATGGGTCCTCACTATGTTGCCCACGCTGGTCTGGAACTCCTGGCTTCAAGTGATCCTCCTGCCTTGGCCTCCCAAAGTGTTGGAAATAGAGGCATGAGCCACCTGGCCCAACAGAAGTTTTGAAGCTACTCAACTGACAGAGAGAGCAAGACCCATGCCTATCTGGGGACTTCTCAGATCTGGCTTGTGGTCTCCCAAACTGGCCTCAGCTGAATGAATGTTCCTGTCCTACATGGCAGCACTGTTCTATTTGGGACTGTGAGAGAATCAAGGTGCAGGGACAGCAGGATGGTCTGGGTGCTTGTTACATGGTGGCCCTTTATACATTACCTGTATGCACTCTTGGCCTTTTGAGGTGTCAGGCCCTCCCCAAGCAGTCATCATGAATCATGATGGGGGTGTGAAGGGCAGGGACAGGCATGCCTGCAATGTGGGCAGTGTCCTCCCGAGTGCCCTCCTTACCAGCCAGAGGCCTGTAATTCAAGATATGGCAGCATGAGGAAAACATTTAATAACAATGCCTGTGGCCTTTTCCAATCATTGTGCACCTGTGGCTTCCATTGATCGGGCACTTATGTGCCAGAAACTGCTGGTCAGACTGTGTGCTCTAGCTCATTAATCCTCCCACAGCCCCCTAAGGAGGTGGTTTTATGGTCCCCAAGGCACAGAGACTGAGGCTCAGAGATCACATAACAAGGTTCAAGTCACACAGCGGTGTTAGGAGTCCACATCCAATGTGTATGCTGAGCTACTATTCTATACTGTTTGGACATTACATTCTATTAATGGTCAGTATAGATGTTTCTGGGATTTATTATTTTTAGGAAACAGATCCAACCTGCCTTCCCTGAACAGTGGTACTGCTGTGTCATGGTAAAAAGTGCACTGTGCCCTGGCAGGCCCTATGGACGTTGCCAAGTGAGATGGTGTGAAAATATGTCAGCAAGTGGTAGACTAGGAAACTGCGGGCTCTCGTTCTCTTAGAGAGCTCAATGTTAAAGCTATAGGAGACCAAAACATCGTGAGAATTCTAGAAACTAGTTAGGATGCTGCAATGCCAGCTAGTGCAGAGCCAGGGAGGGACTGCACTGGGAAGGGTAGTCAAGTTGGAGCATTTTGCTTGTTCTTGCCCTTCCCCCTGCCAGGCATAGCAATGCTACTGGGAGAGACCCTCCAATTCCCAGCTCCTCCCATGGGATGGGTTTCTGCTGGGTCCGACTCAAGAGTGCTGAGTGGTGGGGTCTGTCTGCCCTCAGAGCAGCACCTCTGCGTTTCCACAGCTGCAAGGGGACGGGGTTATGGGCAGTGGAATAGTTGTGTCTGGGTATCCTGGAGGGGATTGGTGCCAGGACCCCCGGTAAATACCAAAACCCAAGGATGCTCAGGTTCCTTATGTAAAATGGCATAGTATACCTATGCAAATGCTCCTGTATACTTTAAATCATCTCTAGATTATTTGTAATGCCTAATACAGTGTAAATGCTACATAAATAGTTGCTATACTGTACTGCTCTTATTTGTATTTTTAGTTGTTATACTTTCTCAAGTTATCTTTGATGTGTGGTTGAATTTGTGGATGCGGAGCCTGTGGGTATCGAGGGCTGCTTGTACCCTAGAAACAGAAATGGAAAGCTCCAGGGGCAGGGCCAGCCTGCAGGGGGGCAGTTTAATGGGTAAAGCTTCCGTTGTATAAAATGAAAAATTCTGGAGATTGGTTGCACAACAATCTGAACACATTTCCCACTAAACTGTACTGTGACTGTTATGATGGTACATTTTTTTAACCACAATTTAAAAACTTTATGAGTATTAAAAAAATAAATGGCTATATACACACCTATTAGAATGGCTTAAATCCAGAACACTGACAACACCAAATGCTGGCAAGGATGTGGAGCATCAGGAACTCATTCATTGCTGGTGGGAGTACAAAATGGTACAGACACTTTGGAAGAAAGTTTGGCAATTTCTTTTCCTTTTCTCAGTTTTTTTTTTTTTTTTTTTTTTTTTGAGACAGAGTCTCACTCACTCTGTCACCCAGGCTAGGAGTGCAGTGGCACGATGATCTCAGCTCACTGGAACCTTTGCCTCCTGCGTTCAAGCAATCCTCCCACCTCAGCCTCCCGTTTAGCTGGGACTGCAGGCGTGAGCCACCATGCCTGGCTGATTTTTGTATTTTTAGTAGAGACAGGGTTTCACCATGTTGGCCAGGCTGGTCTCAAACTCCTGACCTCAGGTGATCCAGACAGTTTGGCAATTTCTTACAAAACTAGACATACTCTTACCATACAATCCACCAATCGTGCTTCCTGTACTTACCCAAAGGAGTTGAGGCCTTATGTCCACACAAAAACCTGCAAAGGGATGTTTACAGCAGCTTCATTTGTAATTGTCAAAACTTGAAAGCAACCAAGATGTTCTTCAGCAGTTGAATGGATAAACTGTGGTACAGCCAGACAATGGAATTATTTATCACTAAAAAGAAACAAGCTATCAAGTCATGAAAAGACACGGGTGAACCTTAAATGCACATTACTAAGTGAATGAAGCCAATCTAAAAAAGGCTACCTACTATCTAATCTCAACTATATGATACTTTGGAAAAGGCAAAACTTTGCAGACAGTAAAAGGCTCAGCGGTGAGGGACTGGGGCTAAGGAGGAATGAACAGTGGGACACGGAGGATCCCTGGAGCAGTGAAACTACTCTGGATCATGGTGCGTCCTCGTCTTTTTGAGACAGGATTTTGCTGTCACCCAGGCTGAAGTGTGGTGGCGCGATCACGACTCACTGTAGCCTCGACCTCCTGGGCTCAAGTGATCCTCCCATCTCAGCCTCCCAAGTAGCTGAGACTACAGGCATGCACCATCATGCCTGGCTAATTTTTGTATTTTTATGTAGAGATGGGGTTTCGCCATGTTGCCCAGGCTGTTCTCGAACTCAAGCGATACACCCACCTGAGCCTCCCAAAATGCTGGGATTATAGGCGAGAGCCACCACGCCCTGCCAGATCCAGGTCTTTATACATTTGTCAAAGGCCATAAAATGTACACCACCGGGAGTGGCCCCTAGTATAAACTATGGACTTTGGGTGAAAACAGTATGCCAACTCTGGTTGGGATGTTGATAGAGGGAAAGGTATGCATACGGGGGGAAGGGGTTATATGGGAACTGTCTGTACCGTCAGCTTAATCCTTCTGTGAACATAAAACTACTTTAAAAAAATCAATTAAGACAAACACTAAAGGAACTAAAAGGCACTTGAGCAGTTGAGGAGAACTGCAGAAGCCAGAAACTGGAGTCAGGAGGCATGCGTGTATCACTGCCACTCCCCAGTGAAGGTCATTACTGAAGCCAATTTAAGGAAAGACCTAGAACAATCACAAGTGCTCCACTCAGGCAAATCAAAAGGGGACAAAAGAATAAAAGACAAAATGACAAACATTTGCTGTCAGGAAAATATTTTCCTCAAGATACATATTTTTCAAGTTTTGTGGTTTAGCCCTTGACACCTGAAGTCTATCCATTTCATTTTAACTGTATTAATGCCAAGTCAAGACCAGAATGAGACAACAACTAGCTCAAAAAAGCCATCATTTCTGTGCAGGTCCTGTTCAGTTGCCTAAGCTTGGTCCTACGGCCGGCACGGCGCACCCACCCACACCTCCATCCTGGCGGAGTGAAATGAGAAATGGACTGCTTGATGTAGCCATTAAAATACAATTAATCTGCCATTTCTGCTGCCCCAAATTGATGAACACAGAACTCATTTATAATTGCTTATTTCTGCTTCACAATATTCCTTCCAGTATTTCCATTCTCTAAAAAAGTCCATTAACATTCCATTATTTTTTTATAACCCTTAATGTTGATTGGAAATATGTCTTCATATCAACTTGAGTAAATCTGACTGTCCCCATACACTGGCCACACTCCACCTGCCCAGAGGAGTGGCAGAAGAACCCTATATTTTGTTTGCTTCCCGGCTGCGTGGCCATCGAGAGGCCAGGAATGGGACAGACAGGTTCTGATCATGGCCTCCTCTGGAGAACCAGAGCTACCCTTTGGGGGTTAGAATGGGAGAAGGAAGAGACGCATTCACTTTAAAGTAAACAGAAGAGGAAACAAGGTTAAAATGAAGTTTATTATTTTTTTGATTTTTTGATTTTTTTTGTTTTTTGTTTTTTTAAATAAAACTGTTTGTGAAACAGCTATTTTATCCCCATGGCAGAGTGACCCCTGAAAGATGCACTAACCCCTTCTTAAGGCCATAACAAGATTTTTTTGTACTTTTTTCTTTTTTTAAAACTCAGATATTTAAAAATTATACAATTTACAAAACAAAACAACACAACATAAAGAATCACGTAGCATGGGGCTGCCTATCTGACAGGTCCTCTTTTCCTTTATAAAAATGAAAGCAAAAAGAAAAAGGGGTTAAATGGGTGTTCCTGGTCAGCTTAACCCACTCTGATCACAGCGACAGTCCCTCCCCGTCCCTGCCTACAGCTCACACTGCCAGCTCTGGCAACACAGGCCTGGACCTCCTCCCATCCCCACGGGTCCCTGTGGGTCAGGGCACAGCTGCCTGGAATGTGCTGAGGACAGGGGGCCCCAGAGGAGGGTCATCCCTTGATTTTGCTGCTGCTGTGTACACTTGATGGGGTCCTTGAGGTCCTCACCAGCCACAGTGACCCAGGACACAGCTATGACCTCAGGCATCTGCCAATTTCACCCCCAAAAAGAAAAAATTAAAAAAAAAAAACCATAAATAAATAGTGTTTCTGGAAATGAAAAAAAATTTATTTTTGTGTTTAAACATCATTCCCCTACTCTTGAAAACATGGACCATCCCTGTATTTCCCCCTCCCCCAAAACCTTCCCACTTTGAGACAAATTAATGACAAAAGGATGGTTCTGCTGTGGTTTGCTTTTTCAATCCTGGGTCTAGTGTTTTCTGAACTGGTGTGAGACAGGCTAAAGATCAACGCCACACACACACCCCGTCCTTCATGAGATGAGGGTTTGTTCAGTTCAATCTCACATTTAAATTTCACTTGTCATCGGAACAAATTTGGAGATCTTTAACGAGATAATTTTAAAACAGAATCAAAAGGGATAGCGCACCTTTCATTTAAACAAAGTCTTTCCAGACTAAAAATAGATTTATATATATATATTTATCCCTCCCTTTTAATTCCCCCCACCCTTTCCCCATCATCCCACCCCTCCCCCCTCCCCCCACATTGTCACTATGGAGATTGTGTCCATGGAAACAGCCATTCCAACGTCTTGGGTCTTTCTTTCCTGTGGTGTCACTGGTTTGAGTGTGATGTGAGAACTTAAGGAAGTGCTGGCATGGGCAGGCACGCGGGCGGGGCGGGGCGGGGCAGGGCAGGGTGTGGCTGCACGGTAGGACGATTTCCATTCCATCACGAGTGTCCACCACCTTCTCATCTCCACAGTCTCACCTGGAAGACAAGGGACACACAGTGAAGGCCAGGAGCCTCCACAGGGTCCACCACCAACAGCCGCTGTTCCGTGGTACCCCTGGGAGCTTTCAGCAGGGAGCCTGCACTCACGCCCCTCTGCAGATGTGCTGCTGATATGGGACACACCCGAGACCAATGCCAGGGCCACTGTGTGGCTCTGGATCTGGAATGTGATTAAAGGCAGCAATGACCTAGTGGGGGTGCTGGGGTTGGACTCTGAGGGCTCCTCAGGGCATGTCTGCCTTCCTAGTGCATAAAGGAACCAGTACAGCAGAGAACTCCCTGACCTCAGGGCAGGCCCCACTTGTGGGGCAGCTGGTGGGGTTTTGCCAGTGTCAGGACCCCAGTTGTGACTGAAACCTACAGTACCTGGTCAATCTGTGGAAGAAACTTCTCGAAGTCCAGCCTTTTAGGACAGTTTCACAGCTGCCTCTAGTCAACACAGCTAGTTGTTTGTTTTTGAGACAAGACATCGCTCTGTCGCCTTGGCTCCCTGCAGCCTTGACCTCCTGGGCTCAAGCAATCCTCCCACCTCAGCCTTCCAAGTAGCTGGGACTACAGGTACACGCCACCATGCTTGGCTAATGACAGTCTTTTTTTTTTTTTTTTTTTTTTTTTTTTGAGACAGTCTTGCTCTATTGCCCAGACTGGAGTGTAGTGGTGTGCTCTTGGCTCACTGCAGCCTCTGCCCCCTGGGTTCAAGTGATTCTTGTGCCTCAGCCTCCCAAATAGCTGGGATCACAGGTGCACGCCACCACACCCGGCTAATTTTTGTATTTTTAGGAGAGATGTGGTTTTGCCATGTTAGGCTGGTCTAGAACTCCTGGCCCCAGCTGATCTGCCCACCTCGGCCTCCCAAAGTGTTGGGATTACAGGCGTGAGCCACTACACCTGGCCCACAGTCAGTTCTTCATGCTTAAAAAGAACACTCTTCCCATGGCCTCTAACAGGGAGGGCAGGTTTTCTGAGGCTCAGACAGAGCTGGACTATGTTAATCCTTTCGACCTCTCAGGAACCTGAGACCCCTAGGTCTCCCATCCCCAGGCTGGAGGGCTTCTCTCCTCTTCCAGCCCATGTGCAGAAGGGGATTCTGATGGCCCACGTAGGACAGATGGATTGTACCAAAGGTCCCTGTGGAACGCTTCATGGGCCATCTGATGTGGAAAGGTCTCAAAGACAAACAGCAGTTTCCTAGGAATCAGTCCAGTAAAATTTCACCAGAAGCCAGAAGTGGTGGCAGCCTTGCCCCTCCTTCACTTGCTATCTGCCAATCACTGTGCTTAAGACTGTCACTGGGGCTCACCTAACTGCTTCCTCAAGACCAATTTGGTGCCCTCCCCTGACAAACCCCAAGAACCCAAGTGTCACCAGCCCTTTCTGCTTCCATAAAGTTCACACACGCAGAACTGCTAAGGCGGCTGGGGCCTGCGGGAGCTAAGATTGAGCTGTTCCCAAGCACGTACATGCACATGCTCTTGCCCAAGGAGGTTCCTGACTACTTGGCAGAAAACACCAATAAGCAGGAACACACACAGAGGCCATGGCACAACATCACCACAGACAAGTAAAAGCAAGCCCTGGGAATGCAGGCCAGCAGTTGAGCTAATGGGCACCTACCTCCAAGAACACAGAAGGGTGTCATCTTGTTGGGGCTGCAGGATGCCCGTGTGAATCAAGGCCAATGCCCACACGTACCCTGCCAGGCTCTGCTCAAGGAGGGGACAGGGCAGGGTTTGCCCTCTTTACCAATACACAGCAGTCTTGGGCCTGCACCCCAATCTTGCTCATTACTCAGAAGAACAGGACCCCACACCAGCTCCCCAGTGAAGAATGAAGCACATGTCAGCAGCCAGGGTCTGCCTGGCCAGTTGGCTCTGCGAGCTGCTACTTGTGGGCCCCTCCCTGGGGCGCGTGGTGGCCCAGGCAGCGGCAGTTCCTCAGCACCTGCAGCCTGGGGCTCTGCCCTCTATAGCCTTCGTGTTCCTCAGGTCTGATGACTAGACCAGCCCAAACACACGATATCCTGAATGTAATGGGACCCTAACTTTTCAAGAGTTACTTTAAAAAAGTTGTTCCTTCAGTAGGGAAATTAGGAAGGAAGGAAAATTCTCTAAGCACTATGTGCCAGGCCCTGGGCTAGAAGCTTTACAGATATTATATCACAGTAACGTGGATCTGCCTGACCCCCATCTTCAAGAGAGCTAAAGCTCAGGAAGGCGACACATGTAGCCCAAAGCGACGTGGCCAGAGGTGGGACTGGGGCTTTCCCAACTGGGCCCTAGGGGCTGCGTATGCTAGGGCATGGGGTGTGGCTGAGAGACGGCTGGGTCCCCGACAGTGAGCCTGGGAGCAGCCCTGGTGCCAGCCAGCCTGAGCAGCAGGAGCGACCTGCCGCCCCTGTGCTGAAGACTGTGAATTCTCTTTTAAAGAACATCACCTTGCTCCCCAGCTGCCAGCATCCAGGGTTTCGTCTTGGGCCAACACCTTCCCAGGCTCCCTCACTTGTTCCCTCCCTTCCCTTCTCGCTCACACTGTCCTTTCTGCTCCCCTTTGGCCTCATCCGTGGCCTGAACCCGGGACGCCATCCTCGCGTCCTTCCACATCAGACTCCAAGCCTGCCTTTCCCAACTGCAGCAAAAACTCATCATCTCAACACCACTCACCCTGGCCAGGATTCGCCCAGAGCCCATTTCCTCATTTCTAAAACAGACACTAATTCCGACTAGAGAGGGAGGATATGAAGGGAAACCTAATTCTGAATCTATACTGATTAAGGGCACCGATGGTCAGGGTCCAAGAGCCCTTTTTTCCCTGGGATGCACTCATTTCTTTCTTTTTTTTTTTTTTTTTTTTGAGATGGAGTCTCACTCTGTCGTCCAGGCTGGAGTGCAGTGGCACGATCTCAGCTCACTGCAAGCTCCACGTCCCGGGTTCATGCCATTCTCCTGCCTCAGTCTCCCGAGTAGCTGGGACTACAGGCGCCCACCACCACGCCCGGCTAATTTTTTGTATTTTTAGTATTTTAGTGTTTTAATTTTTTGTATTTTTGTATTGTTAGCCAGGATGGTCTCGATCTCCTGACCTCGTGATCTGCCCGCCTCCCAAAGTGCTGGGATTATAGGCGTTAGCCACTGTGCCCGGCCTGGGATGCACTCATTTCTTTAACACAGACTCACTTGGCACTAGCATAGTTACATGCCCCGCTCTGGGCTAGGCTTTGATGGTGCAAAGACAGACGTGGTCCCTGCCCTAATGGAGCTTACAGTCTAGTGGAGAGACAGGTAGTAAACAAGTAAATGATCTGAAATTGTGGTGATGCTAGGATGGCTGCAAGCGAGGAGGGGGGCAATGGAGACAAGGATTTAGAAAGGGAAAGGCTTCTCTGAGGAAGTAGGATTTAAGCTGAGACCCAGGAGATGGGAGCCTGTTTTCAACATGAAGATGGGGAGCCAAAGTGTTTCCAGCACAAGGAACTGTGTGTGCAGAAGCCCAGAGGAAGGAAGCCTGGTCCCTGAGGAGCTGGAGGCAGCCAGGGGCCTGGAGAGTCACCTGAGACTTCCATAGGGCTCTGGAAGGCAAGGTGAGATGTCTGGGCTTTGTGTGGAAGATGACAAGAATCTCTGACGTAGAGAAGGGACAGGACTGGAGGGAGGCCTAATGAAGATTGCACTTGGCTGCTGAGCAGTGGCAGGGAGGCGGGCACTATAGCAGCCACAATGCCTGGGCTGGGGCTGGTGGGGAAGGAAAGTGGACAGACTCAGGCTCTCCTCTGGAGGTGTAACCCTGGACTGCCTCTGGACCAGTTTGGGGAAAGGGGAACTCTAGAATGTGACATTCATGCATACACACAAATGGACTGTGTGATGTCCAGCTCCAGGGGCAGGGGGGCCACGCCCCGTTCCCTGCCTTGCTCAGCGTCCATCCATGGCTGTTCTGTGCAGGGTACATAGCATCCAGGATGCAGCATTAGCCCTGATCAAGGTTATGCTTCCCATGTGCTGGACCACAGGGCCTGTTAGGGCAAGCTGGGGCCTCCTTGTTTAATTCACGACAGGAGGAAGAGCTGGGTATAGGGACTCCACTGTCAAAAGCCCTGCCAACCAATGACACAAGCCAGCAAGGCAACCCCCTTGGCACAAAGAGACAGTGGGCAACCACGGGCCTGCAGAAGGACTTTTCCCCTCCGCACTCCTGGCGAGGGTCAGGTACCAGATACCTCACAGGCTGGGAGGCAGGGGCGGCATCTTTTAACCCCAAGCCTTGGGTATTTTTTGCTATAAGAGACAGCTGCAGGGTCCAATCTGCTGCCTTGACCCCTCCAACTCCCAAGAGAAACCCACAGCTAGGCATGGCAGATCAACGGGCTGAGAGCCAGTGTGCTGTGCTGGCACTTAGAGACATTTCCCAATGGAATCTCAAAAGGTTGGCACTGCTATTCCTGTTTTTACAGAAGAAACCGAAGTACAGAGACATGGAGTAGTCTGATCTTAGTCACACAGCACCTATCATATCACTCTGTCAGAACATGGCGCACTAGGAGGCAGACACACACGCACATTCGCTGTCTGTTCCCTGCCTTGTCAGGGCACCCAATAATGGTGGCTCTCTGTCCCCAGCATGGGGCCCAAGATGAGTCCTCCTTTAGTCAGAGGTGTGATTCTATCCCCAGTCACCAGGGCTTCTACCACAAATGAAGGACGGTGACCACCCTCAATGTCACTGCTGAACTGGGAAACCAGGAAAAGCTATATGCCTTGTGGGAACAGCACATAAAAAACATTTCAGATGGACAGGACTGGATGCAGTGAGTCCATCCTCTCCCTCCAAGAGCTGAATGGAATGGTTCAACCTCAATGGACCTGAGACGACTCTCTTCAATGGGTGAGGCCACTTCATCACTGTGCTTCAACCCAGAAGGATGAAGCTCATTGTTCTGTTCAAGAGTTGGCCGGGCGCCGTGGCTCACGCCTGTAATCCCGGCACTTTGAGAGGTCAAGGCGGGAAGATCACTTGATGTCAGGAGTTCAAGGCCAGCCTGGGCAACATGGTGAAACCCCATCTCTACAAAAAATACAAAAATTAGCTGGGCGTGGTGGTGCACACCTGTAGTCCCAGCTACTCGGGAGGGCTGAGGCGGGAGAATCGCCTGAACCCCAGAGATGGAGGTTGCAGTGAGCCGAGATCGTGCCCCTGTACTCCAGCCTGGGCGACAAAGTGAGAATCCGTCTCCAAAAAAAAAAAAAAAAAGAGTCAAGGGCCCTGACAGCTAGGAAGGAAGGCCCAAGAATGACTAGAGAGGAACAGATGAACAAAATCCCCAGGAGATTTGTCCACCAGGCCCAGGGCCTGAACTTTCTTTTTCTCAAACACAGATGCAATTCCAGGACAAAAACAAAAAACACTTAAGCTCTTTCCTTAACCAGGTCTTCTAGGACACATTCCAGGAATACGCATCGTGGTCCCCTACAGAACTTGACTCTAACCATCTTGGCCTGTGCTGGCACAGGGGTGACAATGGGAAGGCACAGTGACACCCTCAGGAGCGTAGGGACATGCAGGAGGGCCAACAGAAACAGTCCTTTCAAAACCACGCAATGCAATGGCTGCCTTGTCCTAAGGGCTAATCCCAGGAAAAGGAGCAGGCAGTGCTGCCCAGCAGGTTCTGGAAAACCAGCAGCCACTCGCTGATGGTGGCAATGTACTCCAAGTCCAAGAGGCTTCATTTGCTCATCTGGTTCCTCTGACCCAGGAACACATGGAATGGCTTCCACCCACCTCCCCACTTTGCTCTGATCCCTTCACTGCCAGCCCTACTCCCCGGAAGAGGAAAGAGAAAGGCACCACACTCAACGCTCTATCAAGAAGGCACTCAGCAGCCCCCACTTGACTTCTCAAATGGCGTGGCAGCCGAGGGGCCTTCTCCGGAAATTAGTAGTGGTAACAAGGAGGAGGGCACGTTCCAGAAGGTGGTCAGGCACATGGTGGTGCCGGAAGGGACACGTCTAGCGTAGCTGTGTGAGTCAAACTCCTGAGGTCGACACAGAAGTCCTCCCATTTGAGAGAAATGACCCCTCAATGAATATTTCTGAGACAACTAGTCCTCCTGCCCCATCCTGTAGCAGCAAGTGCCACAAGGTACATTTTGGTTTTTCTTTTCTTTACAACCTATTTCCCTTCATGCCTCAGTGACGCAGGGAGGGTGAAGGAGCAGCATGGAGCTCAGAGGCCTGCAGCTTCTAGAGACCCCAAGTCCTATCATCCTGTTTTCACAGATGCCTGCCAAGAGGGCCGTGACCACAATAATCCCACACAAACTCACAGCAAGCACAACTCAATCACAAGAATTTTTTTTCTTTTTTTGAGACAGGGTCTCACTGTGGCCCAGGCTGGAATGTAGCGGCACGATCATGGCTCACTGCAGCCTCAACCTCCAGGTTTGATCAAGTGATCCTCCCAGCTCAGCCTCCTGAGTAGATGGGACTAAAGGCATGTACCACCACGCACGGCTAATTTTTTTTTTTTTTTTTAATGTAGACACAGGGTCTCACTGTTGCCCAGGCTGGTCTTGAACTCCTGGGCTTAGGCGATCCTTCTGCCTCAGCCTCCCAAAGTGCTGGCATTACAGGTATGAGCCACCATGCCCAGCCTCGAGATTTTTAAGAGTAAAATTAAATCAGATGCTAGAGTCTACTAAATCTTTGAGGATTTTTCTTTCCTTTGTACTTCTGCAAAAAGGAATCCTTCATAATACTGGAAAAAAAAGATTTCTAATAACAAAACCCAAGAGTTCTGTTGTTTTCAAAGGAAAACACACCATAAGCTTTACAGAAATGTAGTAAATTAAAAAGAAGAGACCTTTGACTGGAACCCTTTCTGAGACGGGGGAAAGAGCAGGGGCTACTGGCAAGAGATGCCCTGCCCAAGAAAGAGACCTAAAAGCCTGTTGTGTCCACTCACAAGGCCACCCCTGGCCAGCTGTGCCCTGAAGGGCTGCCTTCAGGAACAGTCACCCTGCACCCCATTGGCAGTGGACAGTTTAGAAGCCCCCACTCCTTTCCACAGATAATCTGGGGAGCTAAGTAACCAATGGAAGAACACTGCATCCACCTGGCGTTGTCATCCACAGGATGAAATGCTGGTGGCAGAGCATAGAGCGAGCAGGAGGGCAGAGGCAACGACGCCTGCTGGGAGCCGGGCAGGATGCAGGGAGCCCGGTGGCCCCGACTCACCTGTGCTTGCTGTCCTTTCCATTCCCACGAGCACACTGCCCCCCTCACCCCCGCTCCGACTGCTCTGTGCTGAGGCTGCCTTTCGCGGTCTTGTTCTGCAAGGGGGGGAGAGGGCACGGAAGGGGAGGCTGACACGGGCAAAACCAAGAGGAGACAGACAGGTGGGAGAGGACAGTGCAGAAATCAGGGAGGGCAAAGGGAGGACAGGAGTGGCACATGGAAAAGGAAAGAAAAGGCAGAGTCAGTCCTGACCGACAAACAGGAGACATTCAGACAGGGTTTTCTGAGGCAAAATGTGACCCTTAAAAAGGGGAGTTCTAAAAATAACATGCAAATTAAGTAAAAATAAAGAGAATATAAGATCCTGTGACCACTCCCCGCCCTTCCCCAGAAATAATTTTTAAAGAAAAGCATAAGCAAGCATCTTTCAGGAGCATTTTGAGGGCAGACCTCTCTGGACAACCTCCTTCTAGTACTTTCGGCCCTACTAGATTTAAGACTGCGAGTGACCAGTGACCACCAGGTGTCAGTGTGACCTCAGCCAGAGACACAGTGCAGCCCCTGCAGGAAACATCAGGTGGCAGTGGTCTCCGTTCTGATCCTTTCTTGGGGCTCCTTCTCCATATACACCCTCCCCACACACATATGTGGTATCCACAAACAGACCATTCACCCCTTACCTCCCACCCTTTCCTAAAGGAAGCGACCACGAGACCACCTCCTAAATAAACTGGGAAGTGGAGCCCGAGACAGCCCATCCACTGTGCATCAGGCTGCTTCTGCAGAAGCACAACCTGGAAGAGACTGAGCTTCCCCAGAGCCTTGTGGTCAGCTCGACTTCTAGTCTGGGAAGATGCCTTTGCACAGGCCTCAAGGCCTAGAACCAGACTTACCAAACGCCAACCTGTGAATTGGGGTTCTATTCACCTCAAGTGGAAATCAGTGGCTTGATCGAGTTAGATATTCTCACCTCTCTTAATGAACAGACAAACACCCCCTCTCCCAAAACACATTTCTCCTGGGATCCTCATAATACTCCGAGTGCTGGCCCCCATGCCACGGGTCTCCCTTCAGCATCATGCCCCTCCACCCTCCCAGGGCCAGGAGGGGACTAACAGCCGGAGGCACAGGTGGGGACAGGTGTGGGTGAGGCCCACCAACACCTGGTCTTCAGGTCTTTCAGGAGGAGCCACCCTCGATCCCATCCCTGCTGGTAGCTCTTGGGGCCTCTGACTCACCTTGTGCTTAGGGCACCTCACCGAGAAGTTCTCCTCATGTAGCAAACAATCTGGAAGACAGAAGGGGACAGTCAGATGGAGACTTCACAGCTGGACATAGGTGTGGTCATGCTGGCTGGGATTGACAGGGTCAGACATAAAGGTAGCAGGTCGCTACACTTACTTCTAATAGGAAAACATTAGAGACAACCCAAGTAAGCTATGATACCTTAACATGATGGATATCGGTCACTTAAAAATTAACATTTGAAAAGAGTTAATGGTATGGAAAACACCCATGAAACAAAACTGCTTGAAAAAACCAGGATGTACAAATGTATAAATGTGCTAATTTTATTAAAATGTTTCTACGCATTAAAAAAAGACTTGGGGCTGGGTACCATGGCTCACACCTGTAATCCCAGCACTTTGGGAGGCCGAGGCAGAAAGATCACTTGAATCCAAGAGTCAAGACCAGCTTGGGCAACACAGTGAGATCCTGTCACTATTAAAAAAAAAAAAAAAAATACTGAAAGGCTGGGTGTGATGGCACTTGCCTATAGTCCCAGCTACTTGGGAGGCTGAGGTGAGAAGACTGCTTGAGCCCAGGAGTTCAGACTGCAGTAAGCTACTATCACATCACTGCACTATAGCCTAGGCAAGCAAAACTGTCTTAAAAAAAAAAAAAACTACTTGGGAGGCTGAGGCAGGAGAATCACTTGAACCAGAGAGTCGGAGGTTGCAGTGAGCCGAGATCACACCACTGCACTCCAGCCTGGTGACAGAGCGAGACTCCGTCTCAAAAAAAAAAAAAAAAAAAAAAAAAAAAAGACTGAAAGGAAATCTATGAATATGTAACAATAATTCTCTTTGGGTAAGAAGATACAGCTGATTTAAATTTTATCTTTTCTATATTCCCACGATATCACCAATAAATGCTATTTTAAAAATCCTTGATTCTAGGCTAACCCCATTTCTCAGGCTCAAGCCAAAGCCTCCTTGTAAAAACACTTTAAAATCTAGACGCGTATTTTCTTCTCTGTACAGAGAATGCCCAGGTGTCTGAGACAGAAAGGTGGCCAGGCCCAAGAGCCCCACTGTCACCTTTGCCCCACGACCCACGGAGACACAGAAGCCTCCAACACAAATCACATAATCCACACTAAATGCTTCAGAGGAAGGTAAAATCCCATGAGGATGCTTTTAATCCTTGGAGGAAAAATGATTCATTCCAACTTGTAACATGATGACAGCATCCTGGATGGCAGCAAGGACACATCTGCCTCCAGGTGAGCTGAGCTCTCACACAAGGGTAGTGCATGGATCAGGGCAAGGAAATCTAATTAATGAGTTCACTCTGCACACCACAGCTCCTGGAGACCGACAGCCAGGTCACTGGTGCAAAACGCGGTGGCAGAATGTTAATAAATATTGATAACACATTCTCAGAGAGCTCCCAGGCACCATGGCAGGAGGCAGCCACGGTACTTATCCTTGTTAAATTTAAACTGAGATCCAGACTAGCAGCCTGTGCACCCACAGATTTCAAGTGCAATAGTAATAAGCAATGAACATACACATGAAAACTTTTCAGGTCCCGGTATCCTAAAACAAATCAAAAAGACCCTTTTATATTTGGCCAGACCTGGAACATCATAGCCTGTCTTTCGTTGGAGCCCATGAGTATCTAAGAGAGTGGGCGGCAGCCTTCTTGGCTCCGTGGGCCCAAGAGCTCAGCAACTTACTACTAACCTCCAAGCCCCTCCCCCAGCAAGCAACTAGCAAGGCAATAAATGAAATGTGTTAATTTAAAACCCACAAGTACATAGTGTGACCAAGACTCCCGCTGCTCCAATCTGCCAGAGAGTTTATAAACAGCAGGAGCCAGACAACTGGAGCTCAGGGGATATGCTCTCTTCTTACCTGGGCTCTGGCAGCAAGCACTATGCTGGCTTAGTCTCTAGTTTGGGCCAAACAGAAACAGTACAGCACACGTGGGGCTGGGCCACGCTTACGCCACAGGGGTTTATACCAGTGAGGACAGGGACCACACGAGCAGCAAAGGGTGCCATCAGAAAGGCGCAGGTGGCTCAGTTCCCTCACGGCCACAGAACAGTGACCAGCTGTGATGGACCATTAATAAAACACGCCTCATGTTAGGAAATGCGTTCCCTCTGAGTTAGAAGCAGAAAAGAGTAAGACACTATGAATGCACGCTAACGACAACTTGAAACTAATGCCAGATACATCTGGAAATGAAGTCTCCTACAGCAATCTGCCTGAGGCAGTGTCCATCTCTGACAAGGCCTCCCATGCAGGAACACTGTGCAGACAATGCCCTCCTCTGTTCTCATACATGTCCACAGGCCGTCAGGAAGCACAATTCACGTTCCTGGCAGGGGCCAGAACCACAGCTAGAGAGCTCAGAAACCTGGAGGGCACAGGGGAGCTTCTCCTCTTACCAGTCCCTGCTGGGAGGGAAGAGTGAAGAGCAGTAGGTGTAGTAAAACCTCTTCTGAGGACTCTGAACAGGCAACTGCACCTACATGGCCAGCCAGTCAAGGTCTCTCAATCTGTGTTCTTCAAGGCCCAGGCACCATCCTACACTGTCCAGAGGGCGCAGTCAGCACTTCTGCATAGTGAAGTCAAAGTAAACAGCTTGCGAGATCATCATCCAAGCTCAAAAAGACCTACAAGGTGGCCTAGTCAACAAGATGGCTTGCAGACACAAACATCAACCCCCAGAAGAGAAGGCCACTTTCATTTCCCTCTTCAAGCTCAAAGGCAGAATGGATTTACTAAGCTCCTCATTATAAGCTCTGTGAAGCTTCAGATACCCACATGCATCCACATGCTCCCAGGCTGAGGATGGTGGGCTCAAGGAGGGAGGTAGGAAAAACAAGAAGGGTTTAATGTCCTTTGGATCTGTTGTGTAGCAGACACAGACTCCAATTCACCTACACTCTACCCCAGTACTACTGTTATTCCTTATGTTGGCACACTGCAGGGCTTGGGACACAGGGGCCTGCCAGCCCCACCCTGCCTTGCCGAAGGGTAGGCTCAGGCTCCTGGGCCATAAGGAGGGAAATATGGGGCTCTTGGCACTGGGACTGGCTCCTGTGAGGCAGACGGCTGTCCCCCGGGGAGGAGTCAGACTACTGGCATTTCCTAATGACCCATCCAGGGCTCTGATGGCACCAGCAAGATCAAAGTCTGCAGCAGAGATAGCAGCTTTAAAATGCTACTGCAACGAGAGCTGCAGAAAGTAGAATTCCCAGCTGTTTTTTCATGAGAGTAGAAGAAAAAAAAAAAACCCTCCACACAAGGTTCTTTACGCACAGTGGAATTATTAATGAGCTACCACAGCCTTTTTTTCTCGTCTTAATTGTTGTGGCTCATTGCATTAAATACATTAATTAAAAAAAAAAAAAAACAGAGCTCATGCTCTTATTACTGTAACCCCCCCCACCTGGAGCCAAATCCTGTGCCTATGACATAACAAGCAACACAAAACAGCTGACCATGATGTCAGAAATGCAGGGTCAACATCAGGTGGGGGGGAAGGTGGCAGGAGTCACAGATCATGAAACAAAGATTCTGTTTCTATGGAGATGTCCCAGTAATAAAAGTCTTCCCTGAGACATCAACAGCTCTTTAAAGATCTGGGTGGGTTGACAGCAAGGCAGAGATGAAAATGTTAAACTGCTCTTTACTCCATAAGGGAGGTTAGGGATTCTCAAACCAAGGACTTATTTTTGTTATGATTAGAAAGAAAAGTCCATCAATAAACTTGTTTCCTGGATACAAAGTTACATCATACACAGAGAGCAATTTCCAAGAAGACTGTGTGGAATAATACAAGCGTCCATCCCCACAGAGCAGTGCAGGCCTCTGGGTCACTGTGACTTGGGTCATCAAAAAGACCGCAATGACCAAGACATGGTCATCTTGTGAAACTGCCTCTGGGTCCCAGGTCTCCACATGAAGGAGCAAAGTGCACAGCAGCAGAGGCAGCAAAGCCAGAGGCCGACAGCCCTACCCTCACTCCTCCCAACCCAGACCCCTCTGTCTTGCTGGACACGCGGCCACCAACTTCTGTTAAATAGAGATGCTACCAGCTTAACTAGGCAGGCTACCAAGATGGGCCCCAAAACAGAAAATGACAGACACCATTTACTCACAAGTCCTCAGCTAATAATGAGGGTCCTGCGCTTCTCTGCTGGTGGGCTGGGGTGACAACCTGGGCACAAGCTTCCACTAGAGGAGAGGATGTTCCAGTGCTCTATGGCCCCTTCCAAAAAATCCCAACCATATTGCCTGAACTTGGGTTGAGGAGGGTAGCTCTAAGCCTGTGCTGTTCAGCCACTAGCCATACATGGCCACTTAAGTTTACATTAAAAAAAAAAATTCATTTCCTCAGTCCCACTAGCACTCAATGATCACATCTGGTTTGTGGTTACCACATTGGAGAGTGCTGAGCTAGAGCGTTTCCATCATTGCAGTATGTTAGGCTGAGCTTTGCTGCTTGACATCTTAGAAGCTGGACCAGAAGGCAGGCTATCAGCAGAACGGGGGCAGCCTCCAGGGGGGCCCTTGCTGAAGTGTGCTCGGGTGGGATGTGGCACCGGCCTGTCAGCACACCCTAATGTGTCCCTGAACACAGCCTCAGTGGGGGACCACTTCTTACCCAGCTGCGAACTGGGAGAGCCAAAACTCACAGTATTCCCAATATAAAACTAACAATCAACCATAAAAAAACTTAATACTTAAAAATCCTCATATATAGCTGGGCATAATGGTACATGCCTGTATTCCCAGCTAGTTGGGAGGATCGCTTGAGCCTAAGAGTTTGAGTCCAGCCTGGGCAACACAGTGAGACCCTGTCTCAAAAAAAATTTTTTTTTTTTTCACTTAAAAGCCATTTTCTTGGCCAGGCGCGGTGGCTCACGCCTGTAATCCCAGCACTTTGGGGGGCCAAGGTGGGCAGATCACAAGGTCAGGAGATCGAGACCATCCCGGCTAACACGGTGAAACCCCGTCTCTACTAAAAACAGAAAAAATTAGCCGGGCGTGGCGGCGGGCGCCTGTAGTCCCAGCTGCTGGGGCGGCTGAGGCAGGAGAATGGCGTGAACCCGGGAGGCGGAGCTTGCAGTGAGCCGAGATCGCGCCACTGCACTCCAGTCGGGGCAACACAGCGAGACTCTGTCTCAAAAAACAAAAAAAAAAAGCCATTTTTTTCAACTAGAAACAAAACTTTATATTACTGCTCCCCCTCTTTCCTGGCCACTAGACTACAGGGAAGAAAACACAATATTACGATGTAACTAGAGGTAATGAAAATGAGAAAAGGCAACTGGTTGGCTCTTTTAAAAACTTATTTTTATTTGAACAGACCTGTTCTTGCTATGTTATCCAGGCTGAACTTGAACTCCTGGCCTCAAGTGATCCTCTAGCCTCAGCCTCCCGAGTACCTGAGATTACAGGTGTGAACCACCATACCTAGTTAACTGGTTAGCTCTCTTTCTTTTTCTTTTGAGACAGAGTCTCGCTCTGTTGCCAGGCTGGAGTGCAGTGGCGTGATCTCAGCTCACTGCAACCTCCACCTCCCGGGTTCAAGCGATTCCCCTACCTCAGCCTCCCAAGTAGCTGGGACTACAGGCACGCGCCACCACACCTGGCTAATTTTTCATATTTTAGTAGTGACAGGGTTTCACCATGTTGGCCAGGCTGGTCTCAATCTCCTGACCTTGTGATCCGCCCACTTCGGCCTCCCAAAGTGATGGGATTACAGGTGTGAGCCACCGTGCCTGGCCCAACTGGTTAGCTCTTGAAAGAGAAGGATTTAACAGCTGTACTACAGAATATGGCAGACCATGACCCAGGGTAAATTACACCTTAGACTCAACATGAAAACATTTGGAGGAAAAAAGAGAACAGAAGGGATGGACTAAAACCCAAACTCCCTGAACTGACATTTCAAGGCTACTTCATTTTTGTTTTGAGATAGGGTCTCACTCTGTTGCCCAGGCTGGAGTGCAGTGGCCCAACTGAGGGTCATGCAGCCCCTCCTGGGTCCTTCCATCTCAGCCTCCCTGGGTAGCTGGGACTACAGACAAGGGCCACCACGCCTGGCTAATTTTTTGTATTTTTTGTAGAGACAGGGTTTCACCATGTTGGCCAGGCTGGTCTCGAACTCCTGGGCTCAAGCAATCCTCCCACCTCAGCCTCCGAAAGTGCTGGGATTACAGGTGTGAGCCACCACACCTGGCACTCTGTTTCTGATTCCCTATCTTTCCGTTGATCAAATAGTGCCTTGGCCATCAAGCTGCCTTTCAGTCCACATGTACGTGTGAATACACACACTTTTGTAATAGTCTAACTGGCATCAGCATTATCTTCTCTACCTCTCTTGTTCTTTTTAACTGTTTCTCCTACAGAAGCTTGGAGAGAAAAGAGGGAAGGGGGAGGTAAGGGCAAGAAGGATGTGAAAGGAATGGAGACATATGCTTAAACAAAAGTCAGGAGCTGCAAGCAACTGCTGCGCTGGAAGGAAGGGGGGGGCAGGATGAATTCTGAGACCTGATCCAAGTCTGTTGGCCCTGCTCTGTGTATGTTATGCCTCACGCCTGTTCCCATCATGCAGTCAGCCACGCCCTCTTCCCCTTCCCATCAAATTCAAATCAAACCCCGCCTCCTATGGACAGCGTGGCTGCCTCCGTGGACAGCCCTGCTTCTCTCCTGGGGAAGCACAGAGAGGGGGCATGCACATGACAAGCACCATGCTACTTGCTGCCTTCTCTCACCACTTTTCCTCAAACGTGACCACAGGCATTATGGGGGCTGCCTGGGTGATGGTCTTAGATACATCTAATGCTCAAGTAACTAGAGGACATTATGTCAAGTGAAATAAGCCAGGCACGGAAAGTTAAAAGCTGCATGTTCTCGCTCATGTGGAAATTTAAAAAGCTGATCTTACGGAAGTATTAAAAAGTAGAACAGAGGATACTAGAGGCCAGGAAGGGGAAAGGAAAGGAAGAGATAAGTAGAGATTTGTTAAAGAATACAAAATTACATCTAGATGGGAGAAATAAGTTCTAGTATTCTGTATCACTGTAGGATAACCACAGTTAACAACATTATATTGTATAGTTTCAAATGACTAGAAGATACCAAATGTTCCCAACACAGACATGTTGTTTGAGACGATGGATTTGCTAATTACCTAGGTCTGATCATTTTATATATATATTGAAACATTACTGAGCACCCCATATCTACAATTACTGTCCATTAAAAAAAGTAAAAAACGCTGGGCGCGGTGGCTCACGTCTGTAATCCCAGCACTTTGGGAGGCTGAGGTGGGTGGATCACCTGAGGTCGGGAGTTTGAAACCAGCCTGGCCAACATGGCAAAACCCCGTCTCTACTAAAAATACAAAAATTAGCCGGGCATGGTGGTGGGCGCCTGTAGTCCCAGCTACTCGGGAGGCTGTGGCAGGAGAATCACTTGAATCTGGGAGGCAGAGGTTGCAGTGGGCTGAGATCATGCCATTGTACTTTAGCCTGGGCGATAAGAGCGAAACTTCGTCTCAAAAAGAAAAGTAAAAAACTTAATAAACTTGAAATTAACACCCACCTTGCCGCCAAAAAAGTAACTGGGGAAAACACCCACTGAAGGGACTAAAAGTCTAGAGTAAGAAAGGTGATTTTCCCAGGTTATCGAAGCTCTGAGTCAAAACTCAAGTCTTCTGCGTCACTCATTGGATGGCACTTCTTTAACAAAATGTTTCCCTTCTTTCAACAGTTAACACACTGCAAAACATCCCCCTATCATCTCAGCAAAGAAAATACAACACTCTATTGTATGTATACAACGTACTGTGATTTAGAGTAAGAAATACATATTTTAGTCTTCATCCCTGATTCCTGGCACAGACCTCCTAAAACCCGTGTAAATTCCTGAGCAATTAGGGGTGCTAGGAGCATCTTTTCTTCTAATATTTGGTTTTTGATCCTGGTTCCTGACATGGAGCTCCTAAACCCTTGGAATTTCCTGGATAGGAGCACTTTTTGTTCTAAGGCTACTCTTGGTGGTTCCTGGATGGGGGCTGGGCACCAGAGAGACGAAGCTGTGATTAGCAGCTTGGAACTGTTAGCTCTACCCACCCCACTCCAGGAAGGACAGAGGGGGTGAAGATTGAGTTAATAATTGATTATGCCTACATGATGAAGCCTCCAAAAAATCCGTGAACTACTGGATTCAGAGGGCTTCTGGACTGCTGAGTAGATGAAGGTGCCTCAGGGGTGGTGCCCCTGGAGAGAGCATGGACGCTCCATGCCCCTGCCCACACATCTGGCCCTATGTTTCTTTCATGTGGCTGTTCATCTGCATCCTTTATAATGGGTAAACACAAGTGAAGTGTTTCCGTGAATTCTGTGAGCCATGTTAAACATTAATCAAACCCAAGGAAGCGGTCTTGGGAACCCCAGTTTATAGTTGATCACTCAGAAACACAGGTCATAACACAGGGCTTGAGATTGGTATATGAAGTGGGGAGCGGTCTTGTGGGACTGAGCCCTTAACCTGTAGGGGCTGCACTAACTCTGCTTAGTATCAGAACCAAGCTAAACTATAGGACACCCAGTTGGTGTCCAATGGTGAATTACCTGTGTGATGCTATCAAGAAAAGAAAGTAAAAAGACAACTCAGAGAATGGAAGAAAACATTTGCAAACCACATATCCAGAATTACAAATAATTCTTTTTTTTTTTTTTTTTTTTTTTGAGACAGAGTCTCACTCTGTTGCCCAGGCTGGAGTGCAGTGGCGTGATCTCGCAACCTCTGCCTCCCGGGTTCAAGTGATTCTCCTGCCTCAGACTCCCGAGTAGCTGGGACTATAGGTGCGCGTCACATCTGGCTAATTTTTGTAGTTTTAGTAGAGACGGGGTTTCACTATTTTAGCCAGGCTGGTCTTGAACTCCTGACCCCATGATCCACCCGCCCGGCCTACAAATAATTCTTAAAACTTGACATTAAAAAGATAAACAACCCAATTTTACAATGGGCAAAGGATGTGAATAGCTATTTCTCCAAAGAAGATGTACAAATGGCCAATAGGCACAAGAAAAAAATGCTCGACATTAGCCATCAGGGAAATACAAATAAAAACCACAATGAAATAACATTTCATACCCACTGGGCTGGCTACAATTAAAAAAAAAAAAAAAAAGAAACACATATGACAGCAAGTGTCAGGGAGGACCTGGGGAAAGGAGAACACTCATGCACTGCCACTGAGAACGTAAAATGGGGCAGCCATTTTGGAAAACAGTCTGACAGTTCCTTAAAAGGTTAAACAGAGTTACCATATGATCCAGCAATTCTACTCCCAGGTACACATCCAAGAGAACTGAAAACATGTTCACACAAATGCTTGCATGTGAATGTTCTATAGCAGCATTATTCATAACAGTCAAAAAGTGGAAGTAACCCAAATGTACAGCAAAGCCCACAGAGATAGAAAGGATTGAGTCCAACAGAGCTTAAAGGGAAAAAAAAATCATAAAAATTTAAAAAAGAAAACAGAATAGTGGTTGCCAGGGACTGGAGGGAAGGGAAGGGAGATGAGTGCTGCTAATGGGTGGGAAGTTTTTTTATGAAGTGACAAAAAAAAAAAAAAAAAAAAAGAAAAGAAAAGAAAAAAAACAACGACAACAGAGAGAATCAAACTGTATGTCCTAATCCTTTGGATGCTCTGGACAAGGGTCTGTGGTCTCCTCTTACCTGCATCAATGGCACACGGGTAATGGTATCGGAAGGAGCAGCCTTTGTTGTAGCAGCCCAAGGTGGCGCCTGCCTCCTGGCAGTGGGAACATTTCTGAAAGGAAGGGAAAAGTCAGGCATGTCAGTATCCCAGATTTGGCCCTCTCCTCCAGGCCTTCCCTGGTCCCCATCTGTTAGACCTCAGCACGTGTCTCTGTGGTTAGAGGAGTCCGTGGTGGCAGGATGAGCTGGTCAATTTCTAAATGCCATTCACTGACCACACCATGGGAAGGGATCCAGCAATAATGTTTTAGACCAAGCCTCACAAATGTTCTCAAATCAACAATACAGCAGGGTGAGATGAGCAATCCATGTCATAAAGGACATGCCAGAGTGGGGTCCCCAGCCCTGCCTCTGGTACCCCCGCCATCCACCCACCCACACACTATGCCAGGCATTTCCTTGCTGCTATCGTGAGCGGCCTGCAGATCTTCCCTGTTTACTTCTGCTGTGAAAATCTGGGGTAAGAGAGGGTAAGGTAGTAGAGTTATATATAAACCTTTTAGAATTAGAAGTGGAATTTGGTTTCTAGTTCTTGTATTTGTAAGAAGATTTTATTTTTATTTTTGATCTACTTACCCCAAATGCCCAATACATTTCCCTTTTCAGAAAATATGGGCTCCTGTGTGCAAATGGTATTTTTATACATGAATCTTATTTTAAATGCACCAGAAAACCTGCCATGAATTTCTGGCTAAGTGAGACATTATTTTGTAATTGAGACACTCCTCCTTATATGGTCAGGTTTTCTTAAAGTGGGGCACATCTCTGTCAGCCCTGTGATGTGGCTGCTGTGAGTGCTCATCCTGTCAGGTAAGAAATGTGTCCTATCAGCAACAAACACATTCATAAAACTCAACCACATGTGACCCTACTAAGGATGCTGGCTCTTCAGATAGCAGAGGCACACAACCAGCAAGACTAGCTGGAAGAGACAGAAACTTGTTCCTGCTTCTATGAAAAATAAAAGTGTTCCCTAAGCAATTACACTGAGCTGGCTCAGGCCCCCGACACAGATACTGATGGAAAACTACACTAACGCCAGCAACAGCAAAGCCCAAGCGCTCGCCACGCTCAGACTGAATGATCTCATCCAGCCCTCTGCACTATTCCACCTGGCAGGCACTCCTAATGCTTCACGTGAAACTCTTGAGACACCAAAGGGAAAATAACTTGTTCCAGGTCAGAGCTGAGATTCTGGATGATCATCTCTGGCATCCTCCAGAGACAAAAGAGGTAGGAACAAGGGCTGGAAGAGATTAGTCCTTCAAAAGCTTTGCCCTGCTCTCAGAAGATCAAGGTCCTTCTGGGTGCCCATAATCAGTAAATGTTTATCATGTGCCCTCGCACCCTTGTTAAGAGAGAAAAGATCATTTGGTCTGGAGTAAACCAAGGACAAGTTCACAGCATTTCTAGTAGCCCTAGACTCTGTCGACCTTTGTCAGTGCCACAGAGCATCTCAGAATCAAAAGGACTATCAACTTCAGAGAAGGGAGTGTGGGTAGTCCATCGGTGGCCAACCTGCAGCCATGTCTGCTGCCACTTTCTTTTTTTGAGATGGAGTCTTGCTTTGTCGCCCAGGCTGGAGTGCAGTAGCGCAATCTTGGCTCACTGCAACCTCTGCCTCCCAGTTTCAAGCCATTCTCCTGCCTCAGCCTCCTGAGTAGCTGGGATTACAGGCGTATGCCACCACGCCAGGCTAATTTTTGTATTTTTAGTAGAGATGGGGTTTTGCATATTGGCCAAGCTGGTCTCAAACTCCTGACCTCATCGCATCTGGCCTCCTGCTGCCACTTTCTTACTCAAGAGGCCCGAAGATATGGCCCTCCCTACCCTGGGGGATGAATCACAGTGAGTGGTGGCCATTTAGGAATGGGTATGGTCAAGCATTTCTGGTAGGAAAGTCTGCAGGAAAAAGGGCTTCTGAAAACATTTTGCACTCCCCCCAACCTTTTTTTTTTTTTTTTTAATATATTTTGAGACGATGTCTTGCTCTGTCACCCAGGATGGAGTGCAGTGGCACAATCATGGCTCACTGCAGTCTCTACCTCCCAGGCTCAGGTGATTCTCCTGACCTCAGCCTCCCGAGTAGCTGAGACTACAGGGTGTGTGCTACCACATCCAGCTTTTTCAAAAAATGTTTTTGTAGAGACAGGGTCTCACTATGTTGCCCAGGCTGTCCTTGAACTCCTGGGCTCAAGCAATTCTCCCATCTCAGCCTCCAAAAGTGCTAAGATTACAAGCATGAAAGTTTCACCCTCTCAAAAAGAGACAAGAGGGAGGAACAGGTAATTTTTCTTGCGCAGCCTCTGTGAGGATTAGACAGTGGGATCTGTGGCAGCCACAGTATCACCATGAGGGGACAGCCCTGAAGACAAAGCCAGCCTGCTGAGGACAGAAGAGTGGCAAGATGGAGAGACCTGGGCCTACCATGACACTGTCAAGCACTAAATCACCCAAACCCAGGACCAGGCCACCTCTAGCCTTGTTACAGGAAACTTGGGTGCTGCTGTAGAAGGGTTAAGTATGCATGCTCTGGAACCTAAATAACTGCCTGGTAAGTGGCTCCACTTTCTAGCTCTGCCTTCTTGGCCAAACTCCTAACCTCTGTTCCTCAACCTACAGACGTGGGACTAATAATAGCACTCACCTCATAGAAATGTCATAAGGGTTAAATGAATTAATTCAGGCTTAAAACAGTGGCTGGGTCAAAAGTGCTAAGTAAATGTGACCCAAGATGACCATGTGTCAGACATATGCTAGATAATCTACAAAGACCATCTCATGAAAAGCAACCACACAGCAGGCCTCATCACCATCCCGGTTTACAAGAGGAAAGAGAAGACGTGGAGCTTAGATCTGAACAATGTCCATTTGCTTCCTACCTCAACTCCACAACCTGGCAAGCAGTGTGCAAACTCCACTATGATTAATTTATAACATTGCATCCAAAGGGGAAAGACTCTCAGGCTGTATTAGGGACTTAGAGAAAGATCCTTAAAGACAGTTTAGTTCAGTGGTTTTTGAAGTGTGGTCCCCTGGAACAGCAGCATCAGCAACACTCAGGGACTTGTCAGAAATGCAGTTTTGTTTTTTGGGTTATTTTTGAGACAGAGTCTCGTTCTGTCACCCAGGCTAGAGTGCAGTGGCACAGTCTTGGCTCACTGCAACCTCCGACTCCCATGTTCAAGTGATTCTCGTGCCTCAGCTTCCCAAGTAGCTAGGATTACAGGCATGAACCACCACACCTGGCAACTTTTTGTTTTTTTACTAGAGACGGGGTTTCAACATGTTGGCCAGGCTGGTCTTGAACTTCTGACCTCAAGTGATCCACCTGCCTTGGCTTCCCAAAGTGCTGGGATTACAGGCGTGAGCCACTGTGCTTGGCAGAAATGCACGCTTTTGAGCCCCACCTAAATCTGTGTTGTGAGAAGTCCTCCAGGCTATTCTGATGTACAATGCAGTTTGAGGACCACTGGTCTAATTCAACTCCCCAACTTTTCAGATGCGGAAAAAAGAAACCCAGAGAGACACAATGACTGGGTGAGCTAGGATTACTGGATTACTGGTTTCCTGAGAGCCATTCAGTGTTCTGTCTCCTACAGAGCAATCAGATCTTGGGATATGGTAGGCAGAATCCCAAGAACCTGTGATCTTATATATACAAAATCAACTTTGTGGATGAGATTAAGTCAAGGACCTTGAGATGGGAAGAATATGCTAGGTTATCCAGGTGGGCCCAATCTAATCACACAGGCCCATAAAAGCAAACGATTCCCCCCCAGAGGGAGTTACAGTTGTCAGCTTCAGGGAGACCTGATGATTTGCCAGCAGGGTCATAGGTGCAATGCTGCTGGCCTGGAAGATGGGAGAAGGGACAGGGCGGCAGCTGCAGAATTTTTAAAAGGCAAGGAAGCATGTTCTCCCCTAAGACTCTGGACTTTTCCAAAGCCCAGCCCACACCTCAATTCCAGCCCAGTAAGACACCTGTGTTGGACTTTGAACCTACAGAACTGTAAGCAGAACTGTATTAACAAGTTTGTGGTAAGGTGTTATGACAATGATAGAAAACTAATACACGGGGATTTCCCAAGACTCTCAAGTGATTGTTCATTTTCCTTTTAGGTTCTTTTTTTTTTTTTTTGATGGAGTTTCGCTCTTGTCGCTCTGGAGTGCAATGGCATGATCTCGGCTCACCGCAACCTCCACCTCCCGGGTTCAAGCGATTCCCCTGCCTCAGCCTCCCGAGTAGATGGGATTACAGGCACCTGCCACCACGCCCAGCTAATCTTTGTATTTTTAGTAGAGATGAGGTTTCACCATGTTGGCCAGGCTAGTCTTGAACTCCTGATCTCAGGTGATCTGCCCACCTCAGCCTCTCAAAGTGCTGGGATTACAGGCATCAGCCACCGCACCTGGCCTTAGGTTCTTTAATGCAACAGATTTCTCCCTCAATTTGCCTAGTGAAACCTACAATTTCACTAGGCAAATTGTGACATCAGGAGATCAATAAAGAAGGAACTCTGGGTCTGTCTTCGACATCTGTTTTTCTTGTAGAAGAAACAAGAGGCTAAAGCAAAGTGACCTGCTAAAGATCACATAGCTAGTAAGAGAACTTAGAACTTTACCTCTTTTTCTTCTGAACCCCAAGTTCAACTTTCTTCATACCATACCATGACGCCTGTTAGCCCCCTTCATTCACTCAACTATCCAACATTTGAAAAGTACTTTCTAGGTGCCAGGTGCCAAAGATAGAATATAAATACTTATCTATAGTATCTTCCATGTGTAAGGTTTTCCCTTCTACCCAAAAATCAATACCCAGGCCAGTACAATTTCTAATTAAATTTTTATTCTATACTTTTTACCTGGAGTAGCTATTTGCATTATCATCCTCCTATGCTACAAATAATATATTAAAGTCACTGCACAGCTAAATGTCCTTTGTTTTTGACCACAGTGTTACTACATTCACTCCAAGCAGAGGTAAGTCCATACAATACTGCTCCCCAGGAAGAATGAGACACATTGGGGGCTCCAAGCATGATTTCTAAATTAAGACACATTTTAAAAATAAGGAATGGCCCAAACTTCAAAATCTTTTAATAGTAAATTTTTTATTATGGAAGGGAATAAAAACTATTTTTAAAGAACTCTAATAAGAACCTCACATTTTTTGATACTCTAAACTTGGGAAATAAATTATAAAAGGTATTATTAGTTTTGGGACATGTTTTAACGGAAAGTGGCCCAGATACAGAGCTTGAACCTTTCACCAGACTTTGTCACTGTCTCAGAGGCAGGGCTCGCTGACTTGAGGTAGCAAACTGCAAGGACTGAGTCAACTAGCGTTGTTTAATCCTTATCTGAGGGAAGCTTTAAGGGAGCCTTCTCCAAGCCTGATGCCTGCTCATTCACAGAAAGGCTCTTTCTTATGAGATATAACAGCAACCTGAATCATCATCCTGTTTAATTAGCATCTCAGAGCAGCCTCAGAACACCAAAGCAACTGGGTCACAGTAGTATTATAGCACACTGATGACAACTGGTTTTGTTCAAGCCTTGCAGATTACCCTCCACTACTGTGCCTAAGACGGCTCTTATCCAGCATGGCACACACTTCTGCTCATGCTCACAATATTTACTTACTCATGTTTGTCCATCTCCCCTAAACTGTGAGACTTGTTCTTGCACCCCCCAAGGACTGGCACACCATAGGCACTGTAAATGTGGGCTGATGGAATGAATGCAATGTCTGACAAACTTGAGAGCCTGAAGACAACTAATGAGGATACTCTTCAATGAGTTACAAAACTGATGCTGGTGGAGCTTGGAGAATGTGGAACAAGGTATGTGTTCATTTTTGGCCACCAGCAAAAAGTTTTTTGTCCTTTTAATTATGCCTCCTACATCTAGGATGGAAGCCGCTGTCCTCCCAGCTATCAATGCCAACTACGTGGCAGCTAGATGGGCTACATACAAGGAGCTACCCTTCAAGGCCCTGTGAGCATTTCTTTGATGCAACTCTGCATCCTATCAAGCTTCTTAAAGACTACTTCAAAGTGTTAGCCAAAGCAATACATACATAGCCCTAGGTGTTTTGGTCCTTACTTCCTTAGAGCTAGACGATCTCCTTACGTTTCTTCATGAAAAGCTCATGAGACTGGCTGGAGAACCTTTAACTTGCCATTAACACAAAGACTGAGGGAATGGGCTCTGGCACCAGCCTCTGGGACCTGCACCACGGCCCAGTACCACCAAGGCTTCCCAGTCAACCTCAGAGGGACAGAGACTTGTCCAGTTCTTCTCAGGTCCATTTACTCAGTGCTACTCAAGTTATGGTACATGGATTTAGAATCTGCACTTATGTCCTACAGCTGCTCCGGCAAAAGTGCCAGTTTCAGAAACTGAATCCATTAAATACACACTTAATCAATTATGATGTCAGTATGAAACATCAGCCAGCCACTCACTGGCTAAGGGCTAATTGTGTGTACTTAAGACAAAAGTTCCAGGCTTGACTAGCTTTTTAGAATAAATGTGGTTGGTCTAATGTGCATACTGTCCAGGTATGATGCAGCACAGGGCTACTGGAGAAAAAAACTGAGGGTGTCAGCACACGTGTGAAAGCCAAAAGTCACCAGGTCAATTTTATCATCTGTAAAATGGGGATAACAGTATTTGCTTTGCCTTCTGCCTAAAGCTGCTGTGTAAAATAACCATAAAAGTGTTTTACAAACTAGAAAGTTATGTAATTATTAGAACTTTTAAATAAAAATTACATAAAACATACATTCATCTCTGTCATACTTTGGCAATTACTGATATCAAAATCAGATATAATACAAAGTACAGTCTATTAAATTAAGACAAACAGTTTAAAGTTAATTTTTTGTTAAGTAATTTCTCTCCTACAATCTGCCTTAAACAAGCAGACCCTGCATGGGTCTGGACACCTGCTGCTGGTCGTTTTTTTGGTAAGTCTAGCTGCTGTATGTTTCAGTAATGTTTCATCTCCGACGGTGTGGAAGGTCAGTTCTTGGCCAAGTCTCTGGACACTTCACTTCTTAGCTACTATTTACTATTACTTTCATTGTATCTCCCCTCTCAATTCTCCTATCTGGGACCAATACAAACTAAAACTATTTTTAAAGCTTTCTAAAGCATTTTGCATTACAAGAAAAGATGTTAAATAAATGGGGACTAATAATGACACACAACTGCATACAAATTAAATTCTAGCAGGATTTCGAAAGCATTGAAAACTGCCCCAAAATGGCATATTGAGCACAACTAGAATGAGAAAAACCGCCTCACAGGCTTGCCTGTTGTACTCTACAGACAGTGCCCTCTGTTATGTGGAGAGCAGACCTGGAAACCAATGACTCCTTTGCTGCCTGCATCAGAGTCACCTGCCAGGTGCTCCTAGCCATACTTCTCCAAACCTGTCCCTACTCACATTAATCTAGAATAATCTGCTGTGGCTGATTCTGGACCCTCTGCTGCCATGTGGATCTTAGGTCCAACAGATGGTACTATTCCTTACAACACACTTAGGGCCCAATAGTTCATCTTCTCTGCCTCCTGGGACCCAGTCATCTGCTTCCCTCCAATACAAGCCCATGAAAACACTCACACAAACTTTCTTTAATCTGATCATCTTTCAAGCATAATTTGAAATAAAATTATATATTTAGATCACCATTCTCCTCCCATAAAAGCCCCAATCAAAACATGGCTCTGCTACAGATCCTGACAAGTATTTGTTTCTTTGGGAAAACCTTTCAAGTCAAATTATAAACCTGTAATAAGTGTCTCTGTGGCTGAGTGGTGGTTGGGTGGTAGCTGGCCCCAGAAGTGGTACAAAACGCACAGAAAGCCTGACCCAGGTCCAAATCTCTTGAGTGTGGCCGTTTTGGCGGCATCTAACAGCTACATCCTTGGATTCTGTTTTGATCCACAAAGAAAGCCCGTTCCCTTATTTCCCTTCCGATGTCTTTGTGCCCATAAGGTGGGACCAGCCTGTCTGCAGTTTATAGTAAAGTTATGATGTTTTCCATCAGGTTAGAAAGGTTGGGATTAAAGGACTTTTCTCCTTCATTAAGAATGTCCTTCTTTGTCTTTCTGTACTTCATCTACCAAACAGAGGATGTCAGAAATTAGCCACAATCTTGAGCAGATAAAGAACATATTCAGAATACACACAGCTTTATACAATGGACTTACTCATTTTAACACTGAGCAAACAAATAATGAGAAGTTAGTAGGTCTAAGACGCAGCTGGGGAAGGAGGTCTTTTCTCCAGAAGATTCTGTCACATACCTCTTTTTATGCCATTGTTGCTTTAAAAAATCCAGATTCTCAGGCCGGGCATGGTGGCTCACGCCTGTAATTCCAGCACTTTGTGAGGCCGAGGCAGGCGGATCACCTGAGGTCACGAGTTTGAGACCAGGCTGGCCAACACAGTGAAACCCTGTCTCTACTAAAAATACAAAAATTAGCTGGGTGTGGTGGTGCATGGCTGTAATCCCAGCTACTCGGGAGGCTGAGGCAGGAGAATCGTTTGAACCTGGGAGGTGGAGGTTGCAGTGAGCGAGATCATGCCATTGTACTCCAGCCTGGGCAACAAGAGTGAAACTCCGTCTCAAAAAAAAAAAAAAAAAAAAAAAAAAATCCAGATTCTCACCCGTGAGCTGTGTTATGAGGAAGGGACCTCTGCAATAATGTGAAGGTAACCCTTGGCTAACGAAAGTAAAAACACCAGACCCATGCTTCTTCAGAATCATAAAGTGTAAGTTATTCTACTGAATGTGAAGAAGGCAGTTTGACTTCCTAACGAGCTGTTCTCTGGGACTTTTAATTTGCCTTATTAATGTGTCAATCCTGATTCCACAGCATAAAACTGCATGTCCAGAAAGTAGAAACATGGGTTGGATGAAAATTAATAAGAACTTGATCAGGCTGGTCTTTCCCCTTGACATGCAGGTTTCTCTAAAGGTTGTAAGACACTGTGTGATCAAGGTGCCTTTTATTCTCAGGGCTCTTTTCTTTGATATTTAAGTTCCCTTAGGAGTTGATGGTATCGACTTCAGAAGTATAATAATCTTTTCTTTTTATTCATTCTACAAATTTTTATTGCATGCCTGTGTGCAGGGGCTGAAATGGGGAGCCAAAAGTTCACCTAGTGTCTACCCTCCAGGAGCTCACAGAATGATCTGGGGGTAAAGCAAAATTTAAACAGTGATGTAAACAGTACTTCAGAGCGCAGACTTAATGCCACCAACCTAGTTAAGGAAGTCAGGAAAGCATTCTTGAGGGAGTGTAGCTTGACCTGAGTCATAAAGAGTGAGTAAGAGCTACCTGGGGGGAAGGGGAACAAACTGCTTTGTGGAGGGACAAGCAGGCAGGGTGTAGGGAACCAACACAGTGGAGCACAACTCTGAGAGGGTGGGAAGCTGATATGCAGGAACCCAGGGCCAACAATGGCTGTTGCTGGGTTAGGGATGATATGGAAGAGTTTGGGTACTGGTGGTGGAAATGCATACAAGAGGCAGCATAGACTTCGAAGGTAAAACCGACAGGACTTGATGCTGACACATGGCCAGGGGGTCTGTGAGATGTGTTGCAGTGAGCCTGAGTGTGTGGCAGTGTAAATCAGCACAGTGGACAGGGAGCCCTCTGGATGCCAGCACAGCAGGATTCTGATGAGGTGAGCACACACGTGGCACCTGCTCTAAATGCTACTTTCTCCTAGAAAGATTCCATTTACAGAAGAGAATGTTTTGGACTGAGAGCAAAATCTCAACTGGTCAGGAATGGGTTTAATTCCAAATGACATTTTATGGGTAACTACGAGAAACCTTTTATAGAACACAGGCTATCTTCCTGCTTTAGTAAATAGCTCAGGGTTTTGAGTAAACTGATTGTTTTCCGTTGTCTTAGAGTTATGATTCTGTATTAAGAGTATTCTTGTAAGACACGAGGAAGAGACTAGGCTTTATCAAAGTGATCCCAGGACATAGCCTAAAACTTGCTTTTTAAAATAAATCCCTGCTAGCAAGCTTTTTTTCCGTATCATTTTACTTCTCCTAAAGTAGAGGACAACAACGACAAATCTAGTCAAAGAAACTGTTCCAGTTAGTTTAACTGACAATTCCTCTGTGTACCTTCCTTATATTCAGATATTCCTTATCAGAAATCTTTTTTGATTTTTACCTCAAATTTAGGCAGTCTAAAAACAAAGACAAGAAATAAGGAAAAGAGAGAAAGCTGGGGCGGAGAGGAAGTTCTCGGAGTTTTTCACTGGAGCGGAGCTGTCCACTGAAGCTGCTGATCTGGAATAGCAGCAGGGCTAAAAGAAACTTATACTTGGCCCTGTCTCTCACTGGTACAGGAGCCTAGGCAAGTTAATTTAAGTCTTGATTTTCTCAACAATACATTGGGGATAATACCCAGTTGGGAAAAAAGGGCACGGTGGGGGTATCTTCTGCTACTTAAAGACACTGATCAGGGCAAAATAACCTGAACAGGGCCAAGTAAGGTGGCCCATGTCTGTTATCCCAGCACTTTGGGAGGTTGAGGTGGGAGGACTGCCTGAGGCCAGGAGTTCAAGATTAGCCTGGGCAACAAAGAAAGGCCCTGTCTCTACAAAAAATAAAATTAAATTTGCTGGGTGTGTTGGCACTCCCTGTAGTCCCAGCTATTCAGGAGGCTGAGGCAGGAGGACTGCTCAAGCCCATGAGGTCAAGGCTGCAGCCAACTATGATCACACCACTGCATTCCAGCCTGGATGACAGGGCAAGACCTTGACTGACACACACACACACACACACCCTGCACATACTTCCCAGGAAGTACCAGCACTGATCCCTAGTCATTTTGTTACTCTCTAGTCCCATGTGGAATGGATGGTCCCTTGAAACTACAAAGGCCGTCTGTGCTTGTCTGCAAGGCTATGGGCAGCAGCACAGACATCCAGGAGGAGTTAAAGCTAACAATCTACTATTGCTACTAAACCAAACCCAGCTATGCTGCCACACAAAGGGGTTCCTTTTGTCTATTTAGAGCGTATTTTACAGGTCAGACACAGTATTTAACCACTTATTCCCCACCCTCAGCTATCTGCTTTACTATGTACACTTTATTGATGTTTAAGTAACATGTGAAAATATGGCAGGTGATACTAATAATTTCTACCAAGGTGCCCACAAAAAAGAAAGTTCGTAATTATCACACATGGTATGAACTTCAACTGCAGATATGGTAGGCAGATATCAGCCACTTGCTGTGGGTTTTTAATGTTCTGTAACACTGTAACTCTAATTATCCTGGGTTTACAGCCTTCAGGTTCTGCATTAATAAATTTATGGAGGCAAAACAAAGGAGGAACAAAAAACAATTTCCCAAATAAAATACATCCATTTGCCTCAATTTAAGTTAAATCCAATCTATGTCCCCCTTCTGGAAAATTAAAGCATTACTCAAGAAGGCCTGGTTTAGTAATTTTTCTCTTGCACAAAATGTATACGTAGTTTGTTATAATGTTAATATGAAGTCTCATAACTCAGAAGGCCAACACAGGTGTCACTAATGATGTTTCTTTGTGCTAACCAAACTTGCCTTTTTTTCTGAAACACAGTTTGCATTTTATTATTATTTTTTAGATGGAGTCTCACTCTGTTGCCCAGGCTGGAGTACAGTGACGAGATCTTGGCTCACTGAAACCTCTACCTCCCGGGTTCAAGTGATGCTCCTGCCTTAGCCTCTAAAGTAGCTGGATTACAGGCACCCACCATCACGTCCAGCTAACTTTTGTATTTTTAGTAGAGACGGGGTTTCACCATATTGGCCAGGCTGGTCTCGAACTCCTGACCTAAGGTGATCCACCCTCCTCGGCCTCCCAAAGTGCGGGGATTACAGGCATGAGCCACTGCACCCAGCCTGCATTTTATCTTATCTACAGTTATATATACTCCATTAAAATAATCCTAATCAGAGGGTTTCTTTTATAGCCCCAAAAGAAAATTGCCACTGTGCTGAAAACCTTATATATTTTGTCTAACGGAGTTTTTCCTATGTTAAAAGGAGCTTGTGCCCTTTAAGAAATTAGAAAGGAAGGGCACAGAGTGCTAGAGTCCAGGACTAGGTATAAGCCATTGATTAGCACTTTTCCTCTGAATAAAAGCAGAGAACCTGAGAAAAGGCTGAACCCAGCAGGAGTAGGAGACCTGCGGCAGCCCTGTGATGAAGAAAGAGAAGAGCTTTTTCTCAAGTACAGGGAGAGAAATACTTACATAGTTTGAAACACTGAAATTGAAGTTGCACAAGGTCTTGCACTAGCTTATTTTTATTTTACCCTTTGCTCAAACAGTGGATTAGCTTATAAAGAGAAATGATTACATTTTGTGCTTTCTGAATCTAAAAAGGCATCTTTTTAAAGAAATTACACTCCAGGGAAGTGACTCTTGGTGTAAGCTGCTTCTCTCCATGGCTCATCCTACCCAGGAGTTGGGTCTGTGCTTCCAGAAAGCCAATTACTGGAAGCTGCTTATTCACAAGGCACCCATACTGAAATGTTTACAGTTTCAGTGCAGAAACGACAAACCTGCTGCCACAATAGGACTCCCTTAACAAGATTTCAAATCTGTGAAGATCATACTGAAGCGGAAATCTCCAAAGCTGTTCCAAACACTTGGCTCTGGAGGTCTTTCTCATTTTTACTCCTTTCTTCCTACTTGCATTCATATTACCTTCCTCTTTCGCACCCGGAGCCACTGCCATCTCACCAACGCTCTCGCCTGTCCATCTTCTCAAACAGGTTGAGGTATTGTCAGGCAAAGCCACCCTATTCCTGGAAGTGGCAAGTTTTTCAAAGGCAGGGGCAGCCTGACAGGACAGACACTGGAGGCTCAGGAAATAGCAGAGTCCCAGCAGAAAGGAACTTTCAAAAACGAGGATATCTTGATATACTGAAGCTAATGCCAATGAAACTACCACAGGATCACTGGTCCTCAAATCCTAAGCCAGCCCCTGCCACCTCTCAGCCAAGCTTCAGTGGGGTCATTTAATTTGGCAACAACATGAGACATAGTCTCACATCTCATTTCAGGTCACTCCCACAGGTCATGCTCAAACCGGGGCCTTTTCTTCCTGGAAACCTACTGGAAGGAAAAACTACGTCCACACTAGAATGGAAACTTTGGCACCCAAATCTGTGACTAGCTTATGAACCTTCAGTTTTCAGAATTGATTTTTGCATTTCTCAAAGGGTAACTCTGCCACCTGCACCAGCATGGTCCTAAGCTTGAGTTAAAAAACACAGACTGAGGACACTGTCCCAGAAGAGACTGAATGGGAAGCATCCCAGGTTCTTATCCTCAAGAAAGTTTTAGAACTATTGGTTCAATTCATCTTCATAGATATGGAAATTTTCTTCTACATTTCTGTTTCAGAAGATTCCTACCAGATTAGGAAGATACTCAGCAAGAGTACAATCCTCATTTCAACAGAAAAGGAAAAAGGAAAAAAAGAAAAGGAAACTCCAAGAGTCTCCATGAAGAAAATAGAGATCTGGAAGTAATATAACCAAGTTTAGAAATCCTGCATAATTCCTCAATACATCTCCTCCTCCTCCACCTACACTTTTTTTTTTTTTTGAGATAGGGTCTCGCTCTGTCACTCATTCATCAAGCCAAAGAGTTTGAGGTTGCAGTGAGCTTTGATTGTGCCACTGTACTCATAGTGGAACAATCAGAGCTCACTGCAACCTCAAATTCCTGGGCTAGAGGAATCCTCTTGCCTCTACTTCCTTAGTAGCTGGGACCACAGGTGCATACCACTGCACTTGGCTGATTTATTTTTTGTAGAGATGGCATCTCACTTTGTTGCCCAAGCTGGTCTCAAACTCCTGGGCTTAGGCAATCCTCCTACCTCAGCCTCCTGAAGTGATGGGATTACAGATGTGAGCCACCATGCCCAGGCCCAAGATTTAAGTGTCTATTGTTAGGACAGATTTCATTTATCCAACACCTTGACAAGGCAGTCCAGTTATTAACTCCATTTTACAGGTTAAGAAATTCAGCTTAGGGGCTAAGTGATGTTATAGTTTCCCAAGAAGCCAACTCCTACAGATGTCTGGATGAAGGATAAAATATGACCTAAAAGATTCTATAATTATGACTCTTTGCCAACAAAGACCGTCCAGTAAATTCAAGAGCCTCTGTGCTCTCCTTTGGGCCTTGTCTCTGGGCAGTGTGGTGGTCGTATAATAAAAGGTGGTTCTATCACATGACTTTTCTTTCAAGAGTGAGATTAGAAAAAAGCAACAAGTAGAGGATGGGACTGGTCAGATTATTGAAATTGTCTGAAAATACACCAATGACTAAGGGATTTCAGAGTTCCCAAGTCAAATTAAGGAGCTAAAGGCAACAACTGGGTGTTTGCTGGTGGTTTCAGAGCTCCTTGGGGGTCCGTGGGAAAAGTGAGTCTTTATGTGGCTGGATCATTTCCTGGGGTTCTCTACAGCTAATTTGGAAGATCTTAAACAGAGAATCTTCTGGAGCTGAGCAACAAGATTTTTTGTTGGCATATTCACCTTAAATGGAGCTTTTTTCCAAAGGTGGGAAGGGATGAGGTAGGTCTGAGAGAACAGAATGCTGGGTCAGCAAGTTAGTGAGATTCCATTATTGGGAGATGATTTGCTTCAATGAAGAACGGTTTCTGTGGCACTGCTAAAACCCTCGCCCTGCCAGGAGGCGAAACTAAAACATTAGTAGTTGATACAGATACTATCAACAACCCCGGCCGCCTTGCACAATGTTCCTCAGGTCTCTACCAGGGATGCTTAACGCTTATCCCTGTCCTGATGTACCCTAGTGAAGGAACAAGTTGTCACTTGGCCCACAGTGAGAGGGCTAAATACTAATGACTCTGCTTCTGCCTGGGAGAGTGTGGGGTGGGGGCGGGGGTAGCGGTAGATGGTGTTACTGAGAAAGCCAGGCAAAGTGGTTGTTCAGAGCAGAGAACTAAGAGAGTGCTCTTGGTGGACTGTGAGTTTCACAGGGCATGGTGGAGGAGACTGGCAAAGCAGCAGAGTGTGGTTCTTGACATGTGCCTATTTCCCCTGCCACTCACGCTTCAAACCCCCCAAGTCACTCTAGTAGTGGCAGGTCCAAGTGCCACATGGGGAGGGCAGGCCTCTGAGGCCTTACTGACTCAGCCCTCCCTTTGGCCGAGTTAGGTGTAGCTTCTCCACACTTACACAGACCTCACAGTATCCATAGACCATGCCTCCCAGCACTTACACAAGTGCTCACTGAACATAAGGTGGGGCTGCTTTTACCTGCTAAAAACTATCCACTGGAAATTCCTTCATTCTGAAATGGTCATTGTGCATTTCAATGTCTAGGAGGCATCTCAGACTTAACATGAACAAAATACAACTCCTGAATCCCCACCAAACCTGTTCTCTTGGGAGACCCTGGAGGAAGAACAGGTTTGGTGGTGATTCAGGAGTTGTGTTTTTCAACATTCAGGTGGCACTACATTCACCCAGTGGCAACTCACATTTTTGTCCCCAGAGACATACACTGAAACTCATGAACAACAAAGCCTCATACAGATGCCCTCTATAATGAAGGCAAAACCTGTTCCTCTGCCTTACAAAGAACCACAAGGACAAGAAATTAAGAATGCTGCTGGTCATCCATCTCTCATCATTTTTTTCCCCAAAACTATAACAGGAAAACAAAAATCAGTCTCACTACCAAAACACATTTTAACATCTCCTTAAATTTTTATACGTAGATTAAAATTCTGACCAGCATATTCACAAATTATTTCCAATATTACATACTTTTTTTTTTTTTTTTTGAGATGGAGTTTCGCTCTTGTCACCCAGGCTGGAGTGCAATGGCGCGATCTCAGCTCACTGCAACCTCCACCTCCCGGTTCAAGCGATTCTCCCGCCTCAGCCTCCCCAGCAGTTGGGATTACAGGTGCCCACCACCATGCCCAGCTAACTTCTGTATTTTTAGTAGAGATGGGGTTTCCCCACGTTGGCCAGGCTAGTCTCAAACTCCTGACCTCAGGTGGTCCGCCTGCCTCGGCCTCCCACAGTGCCAGGATTACAGGTGTGAGCCACCATGCCCAGCTCAATATTACATACTTTTAAACATACATATTTAAATGGCATCCAAAGGCCCACCTCTTCCCACTGGAGGTTACATTGCTTCTACGTGTCTCTTAAAGAACCTGTCAGTCACAAATTTACCCTGCACTGATCACCCCCCATGCCAGGCATTAGGGTGGGCTCTGGGGCCAACTCAGCCCTTGGGGAGCCTATCTGGTGAGGACGACAATCAGATAAGCTGGTAGTCACCCCAAGAGCAGCTCCAGCTTAGCTGGGCATTTGCATAAGTGCTGGGAGGCATAGGCTCTGAATACTGTTGGGTCTGTGTAACCTGCAAAGGGAAGGCTGAGTCAGTAAGGTCTCAGAGGTCTGTCCTACCCTCAGTGAGGAGGCACTCAGACCTGCCACTATTGGAGTGACTTGGGGGATTTGACCCATGGGTGCTAAGTGGTGTAACAGGTAAAATGGGAGTGCAGCTGGGCAGCACTTGCTGCCTGGGGAATGAGGTGACAGGTGAGCTGGTTTTAAATCGATGTGCTTTTCACAAATAATAGTGGATTAAAATGCCCAGGCCTGCTCTCTGAAGAGGAGGGAGACACAAAGTCTTATATCAGCAAACAAATACATTTCATTTTTGAGGGGTTGCCCTTTCAAAGCATTAGTATATTTTTATTACTTCAATAAAGAACCCTACCTAGAAACAAGCAAACAGAATAATTTGGGAACTGTCCTATCACTTATCCTAATGAATTACACTATTATCCTAGCAACCAGCTTTGTATGAAAAAACAAAAATAACTTTCAAGCAAACCAGAGGCCTTCACCTGACATGTGTCTGAACTAAGATTTAAGGTTCACAATCACAGCTTTCAAAGTCTGGAACCACATGGCACCCCTAGGGAGCCAGCCACAATGAATAGGCCTGAGACTTGTTAGATGAATATACATTTTACTAGAAACTTCCACTAGCTGCTCCGTGAGAAACACATAACAGAGATGAAATGCCTCCACCGCTGAACAATGTCAGGGCACCCAGGTCCCACTGGTGGTGCTAGTCCATCAGAAGGGACTAGCACCACTTCAGATTTGAGTTCGGCTGGAAATTTGTTATTCTGTTGACCCTGGTATTGTCTATCTGCCTGTGTAGCAGTTCTTCAATTCTATTTTCATAAGGCACGTTAACTGACAGCAGTATGCTGCCAACATCTTCAAATTAAGTGTCAGCTCTTAAGTGCATACAACCAAAATCACTCCACTATTACCAGGTTTACGTGGACAGCATCAGATAGGGCTGAATTTTCTCTTCAGTTTAATTTCCACCAATAAGTTTAGAGACAGGAGGGTTATCTTTACTAAACCAACACATGAGGACACAATTCTAAGGCTGATGCTAGGTAGCTCATAATATTTGCTTCCTTTAAAACCACATCAACTCAAAAGCTTCCAGGAATAGTTTAGCCTCCACCAAGGAGGCTACTTGATTTCCAGCAAAGTTAGTTTTATCCTTTACAGTCCTCTATCATCATCTAATTTACAGATGAGAAACTTTTTTTTTTTTTTTTTTGAGATGGAGTCTCGCTGTGTCGCCCAGGCTGGAGGGCAGTGGCGCGATCTCGGCTCACTGCAAGCTCCGCCTCCCGGGTTCATGCCATTCTCCTGCCTCAGCCTCCAGAGTAGCTGGGACTACAGGTGCCCGCCACCACGCCCGGCTAATTTTTTGTATTTTTAGTAGAGACAGGGTTTCACCGTGTTAGCCAGGATGGTCTCGATCTCCTGACCTTGTGATCCGCCCGTCTCGGCCTGCCAAAGTGCTGGGATTACAGGCGTGAGCCACCGTGCCCGGCTGGGATGAGAAACTTTTTAAGAGCTCTACTAATGCCTAATTTAGGGGCACCCCTGAAGAAAGGAGTTCCATACATCTCAATTTTCCAGAGAAGTGATTCAGGCTATGAGAAATAGGTACAGAAAAACAAATTGAGAATAATAAAATTCCAAATTAACAATTAATGGACATTAAACACAAAATTAACAGGGAACAACATTAATATCACTAATAAAATAAATGAAAAGGAACTAAAAGTTTAAAAAGAAGGTCCAATGCCACTGAGGTAGCAGTAAACAGGCTCACCTGTCCTCATGGATGCTCATGCCTTGTTATGACCCTTTGTTGATTAAACCACAAGACAATGCCTATCAAAAACCATAACAATGTTGGCCCTTCTTGACCTAGCAGTTCAACAGCCATAAATTTTTCTTTAAATCGAAAAATAAAAATGCTTATTGCTCCATAGAAAGTAGTAAATTAACTGGAAACCACCTCAATAAAAGTGCGGTACTTGAATAAATTACATTATACTCACGCTAAACTAAGAAAAAAGAAATCACAGATTAGAATGAAAATTAAAATTACAAAATAAAGTAAAAAAAGCAACACAGACTTGTATCTACACTGTGATGATGGAGACTCACAAGGTTTGAATCCTGGGCAAGCTCCTCTCTGGACCTCAAATCTCACCTGGAGTGTGATGAGACCCACCAGAAAGGGTTGGTTTGAGGTCTAAATGTGGTAATTCACGTATAGTGCTTAGAAAGCATTCAGTACATGTTAGCAGTCATTACAGTCATTCCTGGCATCCATGGAGGACTGGTTCCAGGACCTCTGCCAATACCAAACTCCACGGATGCCCAAGTCGCTTATATAAAATAGCACAGTATTTGTATATAAGCTAAGCACATCCTCCTGTATACTTTAAGCCATCTCTAGATTATGTATGATACCTAATATGATGTAGCTAATGCTATGCAAAGTTGTTATACTTTCTCATTTAGAGAATAATGACAAGAAGAAAAAAGTCTGTATATATTCAGAACAGATGGAATTTTTCCAAGTTTTTTTTTTTTTTTTGAGACAGTCTCGCTGTGTCGCCCAGGCTGGAGTGCAGTGGCGTGATCTTGGCTCACTGCAAGCTCCGCCTCCTGGGTTCACGCCATTCTCCTGCCTCAGCCTCCCGAGTAGCTGGGACTACAGGCGCCCGCCACCACGTCCAGCTAATTTTTTTTGTATTTTTAGTAGAGACAGGGTTTCACTGTGTTGGCCAGGCTGGTCTTGAACTCCTGACCTCAGGTGATCTGCCCACCTTGGCCTCCCAAGGTTCTGGGATTACAGGCGTGAGCCACTGCGCCCTGCCCCCTCCAAATATTTCCAATCTGCTGTTGATTGAATCTAAGAATGCAGAACCCATGAATATGGGAAGCTAACTGTATTATACTATTATATCTAGTGAAATAATCAGCACATGGACAAAATCTAGAAGAGTCAGATATGTTGGGTTATCAGGATTGCGGCATTCTTCTACGAACAGTTCCATTAGTTTTACAATAAGAATAATACTGTTATCTTTATGTAAATAATATGTAAATCTTTTTCATGACTCAGGAGTTCAAATGGGAACCCTGACCAGCACAGATGGTGCCAGCACCTCATCTAAACCCTGTGGCCAATTTTTCTTTTCTTCTGCCTTTTCCCATGTTTCTTGCTCCTTCCTATGGGCAGAGCGACGATTCCCACTTCAGAGCCCATTTCACCATAGAGTCATGTGGTAGCACTTTGCCTAGCCTCAATTCAGTGCATAAAGGCACGAGGCTGCATTCTGAAACTGAGGAAATAGGGTACAACTGTGCACAACAGAGAGGTTTTCTTCAGGCCCATAAAAATGTTTGACATGTGCTCTTTCTCAGTGTAATTAAATACAGTCTTGGTTTTTCACCACATTGTCAGTATCTTGGGAAAATTATTTTAAAAGTCTAAACAGGCCAGGTGTGGTGGCTCAGGCCTGTAATCCCGACACTTTGGGAGGCCAAGGCAAGTGGATCACCTGAGGTCAGCAGTTCGAGACCAGACTGGCTAACATGGCAAAACCCCATCTCTACAAAAAAAAAAAAAAAAAAAAAAAAAAAAAAATTAGCCAGATGTGGTGACAGGAGAATCGCTTGAACCTGGGAGGCAGAGGTTGCAGTGAGCTGGGATCGCACCACTGCACTCCAGACTGGGCAAGAGTGACTCTGTCCAAAAAAAAAAAAAAGCCCAAACAGCAAGTTATCCTTTCTGTTTCCCCTTCCAATTACATTTTAGGAATAATTATGATGATAGCTTAAATTTTTTTGGTATCTTTTTGGGATTCTCTGGGTTTTTTTTTATAAACATGACACAGACCTCATGATTTCCTATTTTTCTCTCCACTTTCTTTCAATTTGGATTTAAAAATTTATCAGTTTACATCTATTTGAAAGGCTAAATAAAAAGCAAGCAGTTATTTAAAATGCTGTATTAGAATCTAGTGTTGACTTATCTAAACATGTATATTAGGCTGAACTGCCTTCATATCTAATATTTTCTTGTCTAATACATATTAAACGCAAACCTAAATTTCTTTTCTTCAACCCTTCTTTCTGTTATTGGTATGTTGATGACCCCTCACCTCGCCCACTGACTTGCTGGAGCTAGAAACCTCAACTTCATCCTTGACCTCTGCCTCCTCACTTTCCCAAACCTGCTGCATCTAGTCAGTGTTTAAAATCTATCAACTTTAGCCGGGTGTGGTGACTCACGCCTATAATCCCAGCACTTTGGGAGGCAGGTGGATCGCCTGAGGTCAGGAGTTCGAGGCCAGCCTGGCCAACATGGTCAAACCCCATCTCTACTAAAAAATACAAAAATTAGTCGGCATGGTGGCACATGCTTGTAATCCCAGCTACTTGGGAGGCTGAGGCCTGGGAGGATGTTTGAAACTGGGGGGTGGAGGTTGCAGTGAGCCGAGAACGTGCCACTGCACTCCAGCATGGGTGACAGAGCAGGACTTCGTCTCAAAAAAAAAAAAAAAAAAAAGTCTATCAACTTTGAATCCCTAAAACGTTTCTCAGATCCATCCAATCCTTCTGACTCCCGTTTCTACCACATACTCGGTCCTTACCAGCTCTTGCACAAATTAATCCCACAGCCTCTCGAATGACCTGTCTGCTTCTGATGTCTCCCTACTTATTTCCTGAGTTTCCTTTATAAAACACAAACCTGTACATGTGACTTACACGCTTAGAAATCACTAATGGTTTTGCACTGCCCGTAAATTAAAGGCTAAATCCTTCAAATACAATAGATCCCTGATATGGTTTGGATCTGTGACTTCACCAAATCTCAGGTTGAACTGTAGCACCCAATGCTGGAGGCAGGGCCTGGTGGGAGGTGGCTGGATCATGTGGGTGCTATTCCTGTGATACTGAGTTCTCACAAGACCTGGTTGTTTGAAAGTGTGCAACACCTCGCACCTCACTCTGTCTTGCTCCTGCCATGCAAGAAGCCTTCCTGCTCCCCCTCTACCTCCCTCCATGACTGTAAGTTTCCTGAGGCCTCCCCAGAAGCTGAGCAGATGCAGGCATCATGCTTCCTATACAGCTTCCAGAACTGTGAGCCAATTCAACCTCTTTTCTTCATACATCACCCAGCCTCAGGTATTTCTTTACGGACTAATACAAGCCCTCTGGAGTTCACATATTCTCAGTATATTCACTGTTTTAGGGGAGGAGGTGGAATGCTATAGGGAAGTATTTGTCCTGAATCATTCTGTGGATACACCACACAAACTCAGAATTCTTAATTATTTTGGGCCTTTTAGTGCTGACATGTTAAAAAGTTTACTTAAAAAAACAACTTTAGACCAGGCGCGGTGGCTCATGCCTGTAATCCCAACACTTCGGGAGGCTGAGGCAGACGGATCAGTTGAGGTCAGGAGTTCGAGATCAGCCTCGCCAACATGGTGAAACCCCGTCTCTACTAAAAATACAAAAATTAGCCAGGCATGGTGGCAGGTGCCTGCAACTTCAGCTACTCAGGAGGCTGAGGCAGGAGAATTGCTTGAACCTGGGAGGCGAAGGTTTCAGTGAGCCGAAATTGTGCCATTGCGGTCCAGCCTGGGGGATAGAGGAAGACTCAGTCTCAAAAAAAAAACAAAACCAAACCAAAAAAACCCAACTTTACTACCAGGCAGATTCTTTTCTTTCGCTTTAGATAATCGCTATCAAAACTTTGTCATCTCACTAGAATGTTAATGCTTTTACTTAACATGCAAGGTAGATTTTAGTCCCTCCCTTTTGCCTTCTGTCTTTTGAGAGATATAATTCCTGAGTGTGTTCGTGTTGGCTGATGCTATTTCATAAGACATAATATTAATACTGCACCTGAAATACCTCACACCCTGCCACCCTTCCCCCCGCAGCAAACTTGAGTTTCCAACAAGAGTAAAAAGGAGATAATGTTTTTATTTCCACCAAGGACAACTTTCAAAGAGATTAAGTTCTGAACACCCCTGGCAAGATGAGCTAGCTGCACTATGATGGAACTACAACATAAGCTATAGAGTACTGAGTGAGCTTGCTAACAGGAACACATCTTTACTAAGACAACAATGAGGGAGGACACCATCTGAGGGCGGTCACCAGTCTGCAGCTTGCATTTCCTCTGAAACCACCTAACTGTTGAAATGTGCCAAACACTGCTCTAAGCACTTTCCAAAGAGCAACACATTTAATCCTCCTAACATACCTCTTTACTGTAGGTGCTGTCAGTTTTCATACTTTGTATGGTAAGGACAGTGAAGCACAGAGGTTAAGTGACTTGAGCTAGTGACCTCGCAAGGAAACAACAAGTCCTGGAATTCATATGAAGCAGTGTGACTCTGGGGCTCTCACCCAGGCCTCCCCTCTACACAGCTGTTGAGGAGAACGGCAAAAGCCAGGACCTTCCGGGGCAAGTGTTTAGCTGCCTTGATTTTCTCTTCTCATACGTTTTTCCAATAAATTGGACGAATCTGATCTGCAGTAGCAAGCCTTGAGGGTCCCGCGAAATTGGCCTTGGCTTGGGGTGCGGAGGAGGAACCTCCATTTTCCTGAAACAGTATTGGATGAAGCAAGCCGTATCTTTTGGAAAAATCGAAGCCCTAGTGCAGGACCTGTGTGCGGCAAGGCATTGCTTTCTGCAGAATCACACAAACTTTCCTGCATGAAGTTCAGAAGCCTTGACATAGAGCTTCTCTAACCACACACCAGCTAAGGGGCCGAGGCTGAGGCTGAGTCACCCTGCAAGTTCCCTGACAGGAGTTTAACTTCACATTTCAACTGGTTTTCCAGTAGAGACTCAAGATATTTGTTGAATTGAAAGGGATGCCTGCTTTTACATACTATTTGCTGTTAGCTCTTTTAACAGATTAGCAATAACTAGTTTAACATCCCAGGGATGAGTAATTAACATATAATAACTTGTGTGTTGTGGCTTGTTTATCAATATTTTTGTTTATGGTCCTTTGGGATTTTTTTGAATATTTTTCTCTACTTATTTATTTTGAGACTAGGTCATTAAGACTGGCTAATTTTCGTATTTTTGGTAGAGACAGGGTTTCTCCATGTTGCCCAGGCTGGTCTCAAACTCCTGGGCTCAGGTAATCCAAAGTGCTAGGATTACAAGCATAAGCCACCTTGCCCAGCCTTGGCCAAAGAATCGTGTACTCCTTATAAATTTTACTTTAAAATCAAGTGTAATGCTCCCCACATCATCCCCCTACCTCTAGAGAGAAAAAAAAAGTCAAGAAATAAATCGTAGTAAAATTTGAGTCCTTCAATTTGTCATGATTTATTCTGTAAGGTAATATATGCAATAAAATTCAAAACTGAAAATTTCACTTGATTCCTTAGAATTTGGACGAAATCCTGAAAGAAAATGAACCTTTTCTCTGGAAATTTAGTGTCAATGTCATCATGCAGTGATATAAAAAGATATACCACACAGTGTTAAGAAAAACAGGTAAATTAGATACAAGTCTCTGCTATATACTGAAAGCCATGGGAACAGGGCGCCACCGCCTAGAGAGTGAGAAATGAAGATGGGTCCCAGCAGAAGTAACAAAAAGCAAGTGCTTGCCAGAGAGAGGGGGCTGGGAGGGAGAGGAGAATGGAGAAAGGGAGTGTGGGAATGTGAGAAAGGGCAGTTGTAGCAAGCACAGAGGAAGAACAATCAGGTAGGGGTGGGGGTGAGGTACTGGAGTTAGGAGCAGAGAACAGGAGTTGAAGGGAGCCTTCACCAGGATGGGGGCCTTGCCAGGCCCTGGAAATGACCACCTTCAAGGAACATATAGTTGAGAATTTAGAGAGCATGTAGACTGGTGGCTCTATTTTACAGTTAAACTAGAGAGCCTACCTTTCTGACTTGGCTGTTTTGATGTTTTAATATGTGATTTCATTTTCATAATGTAATCAATCTATTTTATATTTTCCAAATCATGTTTTCCATCACAATTTAAAGTAAATTTAAGAAAGATGTGAGTCTGTTAGATGGGGGAAGTAAATAATTATCCATTATTTAAACTTGTATTAAAAATAAGCCCCTAAACTGGCCAGGTGCAGTGGCTCACACCTATAATCCCAGTACTTTGGGAGGCCGAGGAGGGTGGATTCCTTAAGGTCAGGAGTTCAAGGCCAGCTTGGCCAACATCCTCAAATCCCGTCTCTACTAAAAATACAAAAATTAGCTGGGTGTGGTGGCACGCACCTGTAATTCCAGCTACTGGGGAGGCTGAGACAGGAGAATCACTTGAATACAGGAGGCGGAGGTTGCCGTGAGCCGAGATCATGCCACTGCACTCCAGCCTGGACAACAGAGTGAGACCCTGTCTCAAAAAATCAAGGAAAAAAAACCCTAAATATAATCTTTAATATATTGATTCAGAAATTTAAAGAAAATTGGCCAGGCACAGTGGCTCAGGCCTGTAATCCCAGCACTTTGGGTGGCTGAGGCAGGTGGATCACTTGAGATCAGGAGTTTGAGATCAGCCTGGCCAACATGGTGAAACCCTGTCTCTATTAAAAATACAAAAATTAGCCAGGTGTGGTGGTGCATGACTGCAGTCCCAGTTACTTGGGAGGCTGAGGCAGGAGAGTCACTTGAACCCACGAGGAGGTGGTTGCAGTGAGCCAAGATTGTGCCACTGCACTCCAGCCTGGCAACAGAGCAAGACTCATCTCAAAATAAAAATAAAAATAGAAAATAAAAATTAACCTAAAACCAGTTAACATATACTGTCAGGTAAAAAAAAAAGATTAAAAGTTTCCCAAGGGGGGTTGGAAAAATTTGGGAGGGGCACCTTCTATGAGAGGGGAACAAGCAAAGACTCCCCGACTCCCCCACTAGTAGGGCTATCCAGCCTCAAGGGATCCATGGCCACCAGATCTACCTTCTGTCACATCCCTGCACGCCTTGGCATTCCTTAATGTCTCAAAGGTGATTTGTACATACCAAGTTATATCCATACCCATTCAGAGGCAATTACCTCTGTAATATCATTCATGTCAGAGGTCATTGTGATTCTCATACACAATTATACCAAGGCAAACAGTGGTCAATGTTGGACAGAAGCAAAGGGGACTTGTGCTGAAATGAATAGATTCACAAGTCCCACACTTGTGGGAAGGGAAAAAGGAAGGGAAAAAGGAAGGGAAGTAAACACCATTTTTAAATATAGAAATGTTCTAGTTTTCGGCAATTTTCAGAGTAGTGTGACACAGGGAGAGGAGCAATGTCTCTTGAGGACTTCCCAATATTTTAATATAACATCGTGCTTGTCAAAACACCTGATAAATACATAGGCCAAAATGGATCTCTAATGAAATATATGTGACTTTATCTTACATGATAGGATTAAGGGCATGCTCATTAAGCAAGACCAAAACTGAATGCATCTATCTGCTAAAACCTAGTAAGATAAAACTAGACTCAAAGTATCCTGGACAATTGAAACATCATCTGTCAAATTAAATAAAAGGCAAGTTAGTGTAATTTTAATTTGTCCTTGAGTGCACTGAGAAAAGTAGAATAAAAGCTAGGTAAATAAAAGCTAGAAACGGATCTTATAGTGATAGTGGTACATCAGCTCAAAGAGACAACAAGCCTAACTTTTTTCTTATTTTTTTTAGAGATTGAATCCCACTCAGTCGCCCAGGCTAGAGTGCAGTGGCACCATCTTGGCTCACTGCAACCTCCGTCTCCTAGGCTCAAGCCATTCTCCTGCCTCAGCCTCCCGAGTAGCTGGGATTACAGGTGCCTGTCACCATGTCCAGCTAATTTTTGCATATTTTTAGTAGACACGGGGTTTGACCATGTTGGCCAGGCTGGTCTTGAACTCCTGACCTCAGGCGATCTGCCCACCTCGGCCTCCCAAAGTGCTGGGACTACAGGCGTGAGCCATCATGCTCGGCCCAAGACCTGAATTGAGACACAGGATCTAGAGATTTGCTGGGGAAGATTTAGCCTGATTACTGATTATCAATTATTGCTATAGAACACCTAAAAGTTTACACAAAAAAACTGGGCTGAGATATGTTAATAATAAATGTTGAAATAACGAAAACACTGTCAGATGGTCACATACACATATGCACATCAAAAAGCAATAAACAGGCTGGGCGCAGTGACCCACACCTGTAATCCCAACACTCTAGGAGGTCAAGGCAGATGGATGATCTGAGGTCAGGAGTTCCAGACCAGCCTGGCCAACATGGTGAAACCCCACAACAAAGTGAGATTCTGTCTCAAAAAACAAACAACAAAAAACCCACCAAATACTGTGACTTTCCAAGGAAAGTTGGGAAGCAAGAACTCAACTTTGACAAGAGGATGATTAACGGATTATTTTGAGCGCTCAAATTTGACTAAAGAATTTTGTACTTGAGGGTCTTAAATGTTACATCCTCCTAGGATCTTTGCATTTTAAAATGTCATTGTGTATAAACTTCTTAGGGGAAGTGAATCTTCTACCTCAAACTTGGAGTTTCACCGTGATGTTAATAATGGAGACAGGGAAGGAGGCACAAAGAAAAGACCGTAATTGGGAGATAGGGGACATGATAAGAGTAAAGGGCAAGCTCCTTGCATGACTGAATTAAAATGTTCTAATTTCAAATATATATTTCACATTCAATATAATTTTTACTATAGTCTATGGGCACTTCTTTTTGCCAGAAGGTTATAAATAATATGGTAGACTACTAAACATACAGTTGTACATCCATCTGATCCCTTCCCACGAAAAAGTGGATAAACTTGCAAGATAAACTCATGACACCATGAGCAATGGGAAGCTGGAAACATGAGAGATGAAGTGAGTGACAGTGATTCTGTGCACTGCAAGGAAGCAGACAGTAATGATGAGTGCAGTGGAGGAGCCCCCAGAAAGCCAGCCACTTTAGGGCACAGAGCTTGGGGAGGCCTCAGTAAGTGGGGGTGCAACATGGGGCTGAAAAATAGAGCATTAGCCCAAAGTTTCTAAGAGGAGTTAGATCCTTAACCCAGTTCAACCAGGTAACTGTTCTCATCCACTGAAAACAGGCGGGAGATTGTCAAAGTCCGCGCACTGAATCATGAGCCCATATCCCCACCCACACAACCCTACCATCCTCTTCTCCACTTGGCTTTTAGGACGCTGGCAGCCAAGCTTGCATCTCTAGACAGGAAATCTCAAGATTTTTCTCTGGAACAAAAAAAAAAATGTTTTTTTTTCCTCTGGGAAAACTCAACTCAGAAAAAAGACCCATATGCTGGCTGGCTGCCTTATTATTCTACGGAGAGGACTACAGGCTAGCAAGCCTGGCCCATACTGTAACAGAGAGCTTCAAGTCATTTTTTAAAACATCTCTTTCTCTCTTAAAAATATAAATCAAGGCTGGGTGCAGTGGCTCAAGCCTGTAATCCCAGCACTTTGGGAGGCCGAGGTGGGCGGATCACCTGAGGTCAGGAGCTCGAGACCAGACTGACCAACGTGGAGAAACCTCATGTCTTCTAAAAATACAAAATTAGCTGTGCATGGTGGCGCATGCCTCTAATCCCAGCTACTCAGGAGGCTGAGGCAAGAGAATCGCTTGAACCTGGGAAGCGGAGGTTGCGGTGAGCTGAGATTGCGCCATTGCACTCCAGCCTGGGCAACAAGAGCGAAACCCCATCTCAATAAAGAAAAAAAAATCAAGACATCTGAAGAACCTCTAACAAGAAAGAGAAAATAGGAAACAGACAAAGATTTTTAAAAATTATAGTACAGGCCAAGTGTAGTGGCTCACGCCTGTAATTCCAGCACTTTGGAAGGCTGACGTGGGAGGATTGCTTAAGCTCAGGTGGTGAGACCAGCCTGCCTGGGCAACAAAGTGAGATGCTGTCTCTACAAAAAGTAAAAAACTTAGCCAGGTGTACTGGCATGCACCTGTGGTCCAGCTACTTGGGAGGATCCCTTGAGCCCAGTGGTTGGAGGCTGCAGTGAGCCATCATCACATCACTGCACTCCAGCCTGGGTAAGGGCATGAAACTGAAACAAAAACAAAAACAAAAAATACGTTATAATGTATTCAAAAAGCAAGAGAAACGATTATAGCCATCAACTAGGCTCTGATTATTCTTTAAAAGTCAGTACATTCAGAGAAAAAAAAAGCTCTTCAAAATATCAAGAAAAAAAATAAGTAAATAAAAGGCTAGAAGGCTGGGCACTGTGGCTTGTGGCACATGCCTATAATCCTGGTACTTTAGAAGACCGAAGTGGAAGGATTGCTTGAGTCCAGCAGTTTGAGACCACTCTGGGCAACACAGTGAGACCTTGTTTCTGCAAAAAATATAAATATTAGCTGGGCATGGTGGCACACACCTTTAGTCCCAGGTACCAGGGAGCCCCAGAGTTCGAGAATGCAGTAAGCTGTGATCGCACCACTGCATTCCAGCCTGAGTGACAACAAAACAAAACAAAACAAAACAAAACCAAAACAAAACCCACATACAAAAAAGATTAGATGATAAAGCTGAAGAAAGCATAGAGAAATCAGAACAAAAAGATAATGAGATAAAACATAAAACAGAGGAGAAAAGATAAAAACAGCGGATCAATCCAGGAGGTAAAATGCCTTATATTAACAGGAATTATAAAGAGAGCAGAGAAAATAGAGGGAAGGAAATTTTCAAAGAACTACCACATGACAAATTGCCTGAACTGAAAGACATCAGCGTACATAAGATCTCATAGAGTAGCCAACACAACCATGAAATGACCTAGTCAAGACCTATCATTTTGACATCTCAAGACCCTAGGGAAAAGGAGAAGATCCTCAAACTTTCCAGAAGAAAAACAGAACATGCATCAAGGGATGAAAAATTAGAATGGCAGTCTTCTCAACTGCAGCACTGGAAGCTAGTGGACAAACCAGGAAGAACGACTGCAAGACAGTGAGAGAAAAATCACTTCCAATCTAGAATTCCACACCTAGCCAACTCTCAATTAAGCATGAGGCTAGGATAAAGTCATGCTCAGATATATAGGATCTCAACATTTTTACACTCCCACACACCCTTTCTCACAAAACTACTAAAGGATGATGCACGCCCTTAAATGAAGGCTCACTTTAAGAATGAGGAAGAAATGGGATTCAGGAAACAGAACATTCAATAGAGGAGAGAAAGAAATGAAGATGATGATGTTGATGATCTGCCCCAGGATAAGTTATGAAACAGATCCAAAGAATAAATATCCTAACTGGAAAGTGTGCGTTAGAAAAGATGTGGCCCAAGAAACTTGAAATATAATAATATGCTTCATAAGCATTATACATTTCAAAAAATGAAAAACGATTTTAGAAGTCTATACAAATCTTCCAAATTACCTATTTCATTTTCTGTCCATCACATGGGCATAGGCACTTTAATTTGGAGGAATAATCATGTGACATGTAAGAACAAAAACATGCAAGAAAAGGAACCAAATGAAATAAAAATCCCAAGCTGGTAAGAGATTTCTCATACTCACCATCTCTCTGGCTATTTCCAGCGCTTCCTGCAGGCCATAGAGCCTGCCACAAACCAGGTAGATTCCATTGGCCCAGAGAATACAACCCTCATGGACCCAAAATTCATTGCTGTCAAGAGGTAGTTCAGGGATTTGTAACTCCAGCTCAGGGCCACCTTCTGAAGTGGTGGGCACGGAGGGCTTCGAGTCCAAAACAGTCTTTTCACTGCTGCCCTCAGTGGCTGCTTTTTTACAAGGGAGCCCCCTGGACAGGGACCGAGGGCCTCCACCACAGTCTTCCGAGCGGTGGCGCCGCTTAAACCTGGGGTGTGCGGCCAGGCTTCTCTGCTCCTTCTGCTGCTGCTGCTGCTCTTCCTCCTCCTCAGTGTCCGTCTTGGAGCCATTAGAAGCACTTTTGTGCCGTACCTTAACTTTGCTCTGCATTTCTGTGGCCCTCTTAGGAGGTGGATTCTTCGGGAGAGTGGCTGCATAATCTTGGGGATAAAAAGGTCCAAAGAGGTCACCCATGTTCCGGTAACTGGCCCACTTGCCACACAGACAGCAAACCAGGTGCCCCATAACCGAAGACTCTGTCACAACAGGTCCCTGCAGCATAAAGGACGAGGCCGGGAGCGCCTTGCTTTCAGTGCTGCTAGGTGGAGGGGTCAGTGACCTCTGACCCTTCCTGCCCCTCACTAATTTGGTCTGTTCTTCTTCCTCAGCATTGATGATTGTACAAACGGCTCCAAGTTCACACTTATTTACTACATGGATGTAAGGGTAAAAAGACTTGTTCTTGGCATCAGTTTTATCCAGTGGCTGGGTGGCATATTTTAGTTTGATCTCAGGTTCTTGGGGTTCCACAATGGGAACTGCTTGTTTGGTTTTTCGCTTCCTCGGCTGGGCCCCAGGCTTCCTTCTCTCCCTCCTTTGCCTCTGTTTTTTTGGCTTTGGCTCTCCATCTGCAGAACCTTCTGGTATCTGTGGGGGCTGAGGGGGTGGAGGCGGTGGCTGCTGCTGTTTCTTTTGCTTATTCACACTACCAATGGGTCTCCCCTTCTTCTTTCCTGATGGGAAATATCCCTTTGGAGGGAAACCCTCTTGCTTCGGTGAAATCGTCACTGTATCGTTCTCCTTCTCTTCAGCCTTGGGGTTTGCCTCAGGGGCCAATATGCCCACTGGAGGTACATTCTTTGAGTCTGGAAAGATTAAAGGTGCTGTTCCACCCAGGGAACCATCTGGTCTCCCTTGGTTACTACCAGGCTTCTGTGAGGTTGTGGATGTCATGGCACCAGGGGGTTCCTTTCCGGCAGTAACTGTTTCTGCATGTGTCTCTGTCTTCACTTTGTCATCCACGCTGCCACGCCACTCTTCTGAAGACCTTGGAAGAGGTTTCTCTACGTGCAACTCCTGGTTTGCTGGACTGACTAGGTCCGAAGCCACCTCACCTTTTCTCTTCTCTATGTCAGCATCCTGAACAGCAACACTCCCACCTTCAGGAGGACCACTCTTCAAAGACAGTATATCATCAAGCGTAACCGTGTCTCCCCCAGCCTCCGCACTGTTCGAAGATGCGCTCCTCCTAATATTTGGGGATGTAATCTTCTGAACTATAGCTTCCAATTTCAATCCCCGTCCTTTCCGTGGGGGCAGTATTTTGGTCTTAGCAGGGCTTGTGAGGGTAACAGCAGGGCAGTTTCTACTATCTGGACTTGGAAGGTCCTTGGAGGAATCTCTCTTAGGGATAGACTTGATATCCTGACTGTGAGAAAGATGGGCATAGGAATTGAATGCTTTATCAGCGCCTTCTTTTGATGAGTGAAGGAGGCGACCTTTATCTTCAGTGCTACTGTTCTTTACATCTTGTGACTGTCTCTTACTGGGAATGGGAGAGATAAAAGAACGAACACGCCTCCTCATGATTAAGGGGTTTTGAGAAGAATGATCCTCCTGGCCTGGAAGTCTCAGCATAACACTACCAGGTTTGGATGACTGTGTAGCCTCAGCTAGTCCATGTCCATCAGTCTCATGGGGCGGCCCATACCTTTTTTGACTGGACATTCCTGGAGGACCGCTGCTTTTGGCTGGAGAAGTTTGCCGAGAAAGATCCCAACAGGATTCTTGTAACTTCTGGGAGCCATGCTTTAATTCCATGCCCTTGTTAGGCAGACCATCACTAGACATTAGGCAGCGCCCAGCCTCCTGGGCACTGGGGTCATGGTAAGTCCCCACTGGTGGGCCATACATCATACCATCTTTGTCATTTTTCAGAGGGCTCCGTACTCTGTCAAGAAACTGCTGCTGCCTTGGACTCTTCCGTGGCCCCTCCTGCCTGTGCTGTGCTGCAGCAATTACTCCCTGAGCAGAACCGCTGCTCCAGTCTTTATACTCCTCTGGTTGCTGTTGGTACATCTGTCTCTTATAATGCAGCTGAGAATTCAAACCTGCGTTAGGGTCCCCATAAGCATGAGCCCGAGTATTTGCATGATAAGCAGAGGCCAGGGTTTCTGAGTTGGGAGAAAAGGGAGTGTGTAAAGAACTCCGGTTAGCCCTCTCTGAAAAGGTCATGTGTGGATTCATGTGATGAGGGTCTCCCCCTGGGCCTCTGCTCCGCCCAGGAGACATTTTCAATTTTTCTGCAAAGTCATGATATTGAGAAGGGGACCGACCCCTCATGCCCTCCCGACCACCAACTCTGCCAGGGACCCGCCGCATTGGCGTGGGTCTGCTGTCTTGCGGGCCATAGTCTGAAAGGGAATCATGGGTTGCTGCTCCAGGGCTGGCATTGCCGCGGTAAGACTCATGCTTGATGCTAGGAGGATGGCAGTGGTCTCCAGATTTCTTGTTGTTGAAACTAGCTTGAGATTTAGACTGTTCAAAGTCTTCCTCTTTTATCTGCCCGCTCTGGGATTTCAGCTTGGTTTCCATGGACACCAAACCACCAGGAAGAATGACCGACTGACTTAAAGTTGGATTGAGACGGTCATTCCTCCCAATTCTGGTGTCGGCACTCATGTGTCCCAGTGAGTGAGCCCCTGGGTCCCTGACAATCTGTCTTAGTGGAGAAATATCACAGATCACTGATCTTCTTTCAGAGAGGGAACCCCCAGGCTCATGTGCTGATGACTGAGGCTCTATTTCAAACTTTCTGGGAATTGGATAGTCAGTCAAATTGATCTGTTTCATTTCAGGAGCTGTGCTGCTTGATTTCCTTTCCCAGGGGCCCCAGTGGGGATTTTCTAATAGAGACCCAATGCTTTTGTTCAGAAGGCCCCTGCTAGCTAATTCATTGGTTTGACTAACCAAGACATTGGGCCTTGTGGTTCCTTCTAGGCTACCAGCCATCCCCTGATGCTCTTGAGTACTCCTAGAATATCTCCTGTCAGGGTGGTGGTGGTAACCCTGAAGCACTTCCTGCAGGAGGCTTGGGAATTTTTCATTTCTACCCTTTCGTTCCCCATGGCCAGTGAAATCTCCCTTTTCTTGCCCTGTAGGATACTGAGGAAAGCCACTGACATTTCGTGGCACGGCTGACCCGAAACTATCTTTGTAACTATAGCGCAGACTTCCAGGAGATTTGCTAGGCTCAGTTCTGCTCGTAAAACCAGGGCCCGCTGCAGAGTGGCCACTCTGGCCATTTCCTTCTCCATTATGGTTGGAGTTGTTATCGCCATTCTTGTTTCCTTTGCTCCCTCCTCCTCCTGGAGGCTCTGGCTGGGGAAGTGATGCATGACTGGTTTCCTTTGCCCCACCATTGCTAGGTGGCCTTTGAGTGGCTGCAGGATCATCCTCTTGGGAGCCTTTATCTTGTCCACCAGGCTTTTCTACCCGACCTGTCATGGCTTCCCGGGAGACAATCACCCCAACAGTCTTCTCATTAACCTTTGGGTTCCCGTCGGATGACAATGGCATGTCCTTAGCGCCTGGTGAGGTGGCCTCTTCTCTTGCGGCAGGACTAGCATTGAGTCTGGGGGGTTCATTCTGAGCACCTTGTGCCGGTGAGGAGCCAGCTTTCTCAGAGGCTCCACCCTTGTAGGTGGTGTCAGAGCTGGTGCTCTGGCCACTTAGTTGCCGCACTCTCTCGCCTTGATCCTCTGAACTGCTGGAGCAGCCTCCATCTAATGACTCTGCCATAGGGGACTTCAGCTGTTCTTCAGGTTGTGAGGAGCCTTCAGAATTTGTGCAGCTATCTGCTTTCTTGGAAGATGAGGGCCTCTTGGAGGTCTTCTTCTGAGGAGTCAGGGCATCAGAAAGTAACATGTGCTGGACAGTGTTAGGAAGATTGGCCACTTGAGTACTCAGAGCACTCAAACTACTCAACCCAGGATCTGTCAGTCGCTTTTCTGGTACCCCTTCTAGTCCAAACCCTTTGAAGCCTGCAGCATGAGAATTAGGACTGGGCATCATTGATGGGGTTGGACTGAGTTGAGGCATTAACTGTAAAATTCTGTTTCTGGAACCCATAGGCACACTGCCTTGCCCACACTGGAGATTCTCCCCAGTCTGCATGAGAGGAGATGGGGTAGAACTACAGCTTGGAGACTGAACCACAGAGGCAGCTGGAGAAGGGTTAGAAATGGGGCTGAAGTTCTGGTGAAACTGCATGGGGGACCTCACAGGAACCTCAGGCTGGTTGTACTGCCCCACTTGGCTTTGCAGGGGCAGCTTGGTGGCAGCGTTAGTATACTGCATCACATGCTGAGAAGGGTGTTGTTGTTGCTGCGGTTGCTGCTGCTGCTGCCCCTGTTGGGTCCCTTGTGGAATCTTTGCCTGTTCAAAATTCTTCATAGATTGAGGCTGATAGCTGTAATTGGATTGTGTTCCATAAGCCTGTGCATTAGAACCCACATTGTGTCCTTCATACTGAGATCCAGCATTCACATTGTAACTGCCATCATAGCTCTGTCCAGACTGGCTAAAACGCTGTGGTGAAGGGAAGGAGGAGGAGGAGGAGGAGGAAGCAGAAGACTGATAGTGTTGGCCAAACTGACCCACTCTTAACTGGTAACCAGCAGCAGAGGATGGCAGAGTTGAGGGCCGCTGCATTGGCTGTAGATGGGATGAGCTGGATGCTGGTTGGCCAGTGGCCTGTGGCAGGGGCTGATGGGACTGGTAAAGCTGTTGTCTCAACTGCTGGACTTGCTGCTGCTGCTGCTGGCTGGAAGCCTGCTGTTGGTACTGAGCACTCCCTGGAGAGAAAGGCCCAGTGTAATCCTGCTGATAATGTGACACACCGCCAAGGCCAGAGTGCTGTGCTTGAAACTGGCCCACATGACCCTCACTCCCATACTGATTGCCAAAGCTGCTCCCCTGGGGGGGTCCATAGCTCTGCACAGGCCCAGAAGGCCTTCGCTGAGGAGGCTGTGGGGTTCCTGTAGTCACGGGGTCTTTGTTGCCTGCCATGTAGTAAAAATCTCCAGCCTCTTTCCTGAAACCCTGGTAACCTTGATGGCCAGAGGTCTCGCTAGCCATCGCTGCCGCAGCAGCTGCTGCTCCTCGTCGTCCACCACCACTGCCACTGCCACTGCTGCCACTACTGCCACCTGTACCTCCAAAATTCTGGAACATCTGGGCCTGACGAGGGCTGAACTCTTCTAGCCGGGATGAGCCGTGTACCTCCTGTGGGTAGCTTTGCTGGTTTCCGTGGTAACTGCTTTGCTCCCGAAAGGACTGCATACTGTTCAGCAGCACAGCAGCAGGCCAACAGCCCTCCTAGAAATAGAAGAAAGAAAAACATTAGACACGCATCTCCTTGGTACAAATAAAATCAAGTCTAGATGATGGAGGGAATAAAGATGAATCAGAGGCCCAGATGAAGCTGACTGGTTTGAATTTCTATTTTTTTTTTTTGGTTTTTTGAGACAAGAGTCTCACTCTGTCACCCAGGCTGGAGTGCAATTGCACGATCTCAGCTCAATGCAACTTCTGCCTGCAGGGTTCAAGCAATTCTCTTGCCTCAGCCTCCCGAGTAGCTGGGACTACAGGCGCATGGCCACCAGGCTCGGCTAATTTTTTGTATTTTTAGTAGAGACAGGGTTTCACTGTGCTGGCCAGGCTGGTCTCGAACTCCTGACCTCGTGATCCGCCCACCTCGGCCTCCCAAAGTGCTGGAATTACAGGCATGAGCCACCACGCCTGACCTTGAATTTCATCTTTTATATTTTATCCTATCCACTTCTGAAAATGCACATATGCAGAGAAATGGCCTAAAGAGTGAGGCAAGAATCTGTAGTAGAATGAAAAGCAGCACTCTGAGTGCATACAAACCCAATACAGCAAAAACATGTATGTCTCATATATCTAATAATGCCTTATTAGACAAATGAGCCCCCAAACTCAACCAGATTAAAATATGGGGCTGTGTTATTACTGTCAATGAAAAACAGCAATTTTTCAATAAGCCTCCCAGTTATGCGGGGGAGGGGGTGTGGGGTAAGAAAAACCAAATCCTTTTTTTTTTTTTTTTTTTTTTTTTTTTGAGACAAGGTCTCACTCTTGCCCAGGCTGGAGTGTGCAGGGGCACAGTCGTAGTTCACTGCAGCATCAAACACCTGGCTTCAAATGATCCTCCTGCCTCGGCCTCTCAAAGTTTTGGGACTACAGGCATAAGCCACTACTTTCATTTCTCTGCTTTCATGTATTAGGGTGATCACTGAACTGCGGGTTTTAACACTGGCTGCTGATCGCCACTCCCCAACACTGAGAAACAGACCTGGCCAGAGAACTGCAGCCAATTCCTTATGTCCAAGTGCAAATTTTTGCAGCTTTACTATAATTGCCAACTACCTGTGATGACTGGTGACTCCAGGACACTCAGCCCATATGGGTTCCACACAAACTTTGGAGTCAACCTCTTCTTGGCATATGACTGTGTCTACAGCACCCCTCTCTCCACCACTCTCCTTCAATTCCCAGGTACAAAGGGCTAGACTTAAGCCAGTGAATAGCAGTGACTATTCTTCCAGATTATTTTGGGAGGTTTCCAAGAAGTTCCAGCACCTTTACCCGCCATGTGGTATTTGTATTTGCCAGTTTTTTAAATTCACAGTTATTACTGGCCATTACTATGAAAGAATTAGAAGCAATCATCTTGGAGGACAGCAAAAAACAGAGAGGAAAATAGGAATTCATCAAGCCTAGGACCCAGACTCTTTCAAAGTTATCTGACTGAGCCACCACTTTGTATTACCTATTATAATCCCTCTTAATCAATCAAGCTGATTTTTTCCCCTTTCACCTGGGCCTGTCTCCTCAGAGTCAGAGATGAAAGGGACAAGGCCAAATTGCTCCAAGTGACTTTAGAACCAATTACTTAAAAAAACAAGTTCCAAAATACATATAGGGTAAAGTGAGGTGTAATAGACAGTTTAGTTTAGTTACAATGGTTTATGAAGCTAGTTTCCTAGTTCCCCTGAAGGGGAGCTGAAAATGGAGTTGCCTGCAGGAAAGTCAACAACCTTTTTAAAGGTAAGTCAGATTTATCCTCTCCAATCCCTGGAGTGGCTCCCACCTCATTCTTTGGGAAACTGGTCTCAAAGGCCCCTGCTCCCACCCCCTTGACCTCTCTGAGCTCCTCCCCTATCACTCTCTGCTCTAGCCCCACAGTTGCCTTGTTCCTGGAACAGGCCTACCACATATCTACATAGGAACTCTGTTCTCACCTGCACGTTCTTCTCCCAGAGCCAGATAGCTTGCTCTCCTTCCAGTCTTTGGGCAAGTGTCACTCATTCCCTGGTCATTCTAGTAAAAACAGCCAGCTCCACACCTTTTCCCTGGCTGTAACTCCCTCCCCTGTTTTATCCCCTGCCTGGCCCCATACTTACTCCAAACAGACACATATATGCTACTTGTTTACTGTCTGTCTCTCCTCTGACTAAAATGTAAACTCCTTAAAGGGCAGAAACTGACTGTTCCTTGCTGTAATCCTCACGTCATCACACCGGAGTCTGTGTGAATGATTAAATGGTGTAAGAACTAGGCCTTAGAGAACTAGGCTAGAACTCACATATTCAGAGATGGTGCTGTGGGAGTGACATGAGAGAATTATAGAAAGTGAAAATAGAATATGATCAACCTAAAAGCAGAGCTGGAGGATGCTGAAGACCTTGCCTGTAAAATCCCATGAGTCCGGTTCTAAGGGAAAGACCCAGCTTGAGTCCACATGAGAACTGAGGAAAGACTTCAGAAAGTAAATATTGATTAGAGCAGAAGATGGCCAGTAACCCCAAATTCTAAAAGCTTGACCCATATCTTGAAATATCGTAAGTCTAAAACAGCTAGACAAGGGTCTACTTCCTTAAGCTTGATTATATAGTCATGTGACCCAAAACAATCGCTAAACATTCATGTGCAAATAATGTCAGAATCTAAAGGAAACTTCTCATCCTATTCAAAATGCCTCTGTTGCTTTGTTCCAGTGAATCTGCAGGGCAGTAGGTAATAGCTATTCAAATGGTGATGATGCTGCTTGACACTGTTCCAGCACTTCACATACACTAACTCATTTAATCCTCACAACACTAGCACGCTCCTTTTACAGATGAGGAAACAGAAGCAGAGTTCACAAAGCTCCTAGGCAGCAGGGCTGGGGGCAGGACATGTTTTTAACATTACATTGCCCAGAGGGTCTTCCACATGGTCAGTAAAAAATACCAGTTGTCCTGTCAGTTTGGCCTTGAAAGTGGGTAGCCACCCACAATAAATCTGTCCCTTCACTGCCACCCTCTTATAAGGACCTCCATACTGTTCCAGCTGGCTCTTCACCCGCTCCCCATCATTCTTAGAACTATCAAGAGCAATTCTGTCTACATGAGTATTAATTTTTTCCCCTTGTGATGTGCTCCTGCTCTACTCCTCAGTGCCAGTGGCCTTCTCTAGATAAAACAAGGCTGAATGGGGGCTAAATTGAACAAAAACATTAAAGCTAGCAGTTTAAACTAATGAAAAGCCTTCTCAAGAGATATTCTCTATAAAAAGCTATGTTACATGTTGTTTAATTAATCCTTCTGGAAATAAAATCAGGCTTCTGAAGATCTGAGTGTATAAACAATGTTGCCACTTGCTCCATATTCTTCCTAAATAGGAGCCACCAAGAGCTAAAGGCCACTTTAAACATCAGGGTATCAGGCCTGAGGCTGCCCTATCTCCAGACAGGGAAAACAGATACAGGAAGGACTCCTTCTTAGGTCTGTTCTCAGCCTTCCCCTGCAGATTCCCTGTCCTGTATGATACCCCTTTCCCTATTGTTATGGTTCTACTTTATGAAAAAGAAAAAAAAAAAATCCAAGGCCAAATACCTCCTGCAGGGTTCCAGTCATGCTAAATATTCTTAGTATACATGAAGCACCTGAGTAGGAGAAGGTGGTTGCCCAGGTTTATCTTTTTTAGGAATGCCAAGTAAACCAATTAAGAAAACCAACTAGCATATACCAACGACAGAAAATGTAAACCTGGAGCTATAAAATAAGTAATAGGCTGGGTGTGGTGGCTCACACCTGTAATCCCAGTGTTTTGGGAGGCTGAGGTGTGAGGATCGCTTGAGGTCAGGAGTTCAAGACCAGCCTGGGTTAAAAAAAATTTTAAATGCACAGTGTCATGAGGTGTGCCTACAGTCCCAGCTGCTCAAGAGGCTGAGGTAGGACGATTGCTTGAACTCAGGAGTTCGAGGCTGCAACGAGCTATGAATGTGCCAATGTGCTCCACCCTGGGTGACAGTAACCCTGTCTCAAAAAAAAAAAAAAAAAAAAAAAAAAGCTAATAGAGATAATTCCAATTTTATCCCATCATCTTAAAAAAAGCATCAGTGTAGTCAGTTTTAAAGCACTGTGATTAGTAATAATAAGTGCCTGAATTCCTTTGTTTAAATGAATACAAATAGTAAGGAAAATCTGATACCTCAAAGGAATAAGTCACCTAAGGAACTTGCATACACACTCTAAAAAAGAGGCTGGGCACAGTGGCTCACCCCTGTAATCCCTGAACTTTGGGAGGTCAAGGCGGGCAGATCACTTGGGCTCAGGAGTTCGAGACCAGCCTGGGCAACATGGCGAAACCCTATCTTTATAAAAAATACAAAAATTAGCCAGGCATGGTGATGCGTGCCTGTAGTCCCAGCACCTCGGGGGGCTGAGGCAGGAGGATCGCCTGAGCCTCGGAGGCAGAGGTTGCAGTGAGCAGAGATCGCGCCACTGCCCTCCAGCCTGGGCAACAAAGCGAGATTCCGTCTCAATAAATAAATAAAAAAGAGGCCTACCGATGTACTTCCCATCCATAATGACTCTCCCTTTCCTGTTTTTCTCCTATATTCCTAACTTTCTGAACAGTTTCAGAAGGGCTGTGGAGGTGTATTAGTGAGGTCCAGAACTCTGTGCCTAAACATTCCAGAGTCCATGTGCCGACCTCACAAACTCACTCATAACCAGCTGCAGACTTGTTCTCCCCATCCTATTAGAGGGCTGATGACCTTGCCCTCTTATAGAAAACCAACATTGGCTTTCTCTGTCCTTCTTCCTCCATATGTCCAACAACATCCCACTTCCCAATCCATTCTCTTTTTTGGAAAGAGAGTCTCACTCTGTTGCCCAGGCTGGAGTGCAGTGGCATGACCACAGGCTCACTGCGGCCTCAACTCCCAGCTCAGGCAATCCTCCTGCCTCAGCCTCCCAAGTAGCTGGGACCACAGGCATGGGACCCCTGGCTAATTTTTAAAAAATAATTGGGACTATGGCTAATTTTTATAATTTCTTAAAAATAGAGACAGAGTCTCACTGTGCTGTCCAGGCTGGTCTCAAACTCCTGGGCTCAAGCCATCCTGCTGTTTCAACCTCCCAAAGTGCTAGAATTCAGCCATTGTGCCTGGCCCCAGCTAATTTTTTCATCCTCTGTCATGATTTTCTGCTTATTCTCCTTCTTTGCCTTTAAATCCTCAAGACATTGACAATGATGCATCTAGTTATAGCCTGTGTAAGGGATATTCCCTGTTTGCCCCCACAGCCTCTCCTCACCCATCTCCACCCTACTCTATGCCCTAGAACGGACAATGGAAGGACAACTGACAGGCCCCACCACCCTTGCCTTCTGACCCAGTTTGGCTGGTAAGAGGCAGGAGAGGAGGAAAGTGAGAGGAACTTACTCTCCTGGCTCCCACCCCGAGGTTACTGAGGCTGGCTGAGACCCTCCACCAATGGCTGCAGCTCCATCGGGCAACCTCAACATATAGCCACTTTCTCCAAACTCCAGGAACCACTTCATCCTCTGCCCTTCAGGTCTAGAAGGCAGTAGGTAACAACTCCCTGCTACTGCTAGCACAGAAGACTTCACTTTCCTGTTGGCTTCCCCAAACCCTGCTCACCCTTTCCAGTCCCTTTATTAATCTTCTGCATTGTTGTCAACTCAGCATCGTGACCACCCTCCTTCCAAGCTCTCCTCTGCAGATCAGAAGCTGAGAACTTCCGTTCCAGAACCCTTTAGCAGCATGGTTCTGGGTTAGAGTTTGCAATGAGAAGTGCAAGAGAGATTTAGAAGGCAAAATAAACGTAGAGGTTGATGATATTCCCTGGAGGTAGATGCAGCACACGTGGATTCATAGCGGCTTCCCCATGAGCTCACGAGAACCATTCACTATGACACTTCAGTATGAAATCATCAGGAACCTTCCCAATTCCAGTTCTTCCAGGGTTGGGTAAAGCCTTAATTCCTGTATCAAAACCATTCATACCGGAATAGACAACTTCTCTTTTCCTGAATGAACCCTGAATGATACAATTAAACACTCCTTAAATTACCCAGTTTGAATGTGCCATCTGTTTTCTACTGGGACCCTGACTGATAAGAGTTCTTCTCATTCCTAGGATTTCAGAGTAGACTATTGCCACTTGGGGAATGAGAGACTTCTATTTCATGCACTATGACATAGAACAGGGACTAAAAATCCTCCCTCAACAAAACACTTAGAAATGTCAGACAAAATGTATAGCCAAGTTGCAAGAAAGTAAGAAATGCCCAAAGTCCAAAATTGGATGAGATACTATGAAGAGAGTTGCAGGCAGGTGCTGGGCTCTGAATGCCAAGGATGTGGGGTCTATAGGGCTTATTAACCATATGGCAAAGGGTTTTTTTTTTTTTTTTTGAGACGGAGTCTCGTTCTGTTGCCCAGGCTGGAGTGCAGTGGCGATATCTCGGCTCACTGCAAGCTCCGCCTCCCGGGTTCACGTCATTCTCCTGCCTCAGCCTCCCAAGTAGCTGGGACTACAGGCGCCCACCACCGTGCCTGGCTGATTTTTTGTATTTTTAGTAGAGACAGGGTTTCACCGTGTTAGCCAGGATGGTCTCGATCTCCTGACCTCATGATCCGCCCGCCTCAGCCTCCCAAAGTGCTGGGATTACAGGCATGAGCCACCGCGCCCGGCCCCATATGGCAAAGGTTTTAATGACCATGCAGAGACAGAGCAAGGCCTCTGGCCCTCTAGACAGATCAGTACTTAAGGACTCTGGACAGTGTCACTTGTGACTGTAATCATTTCTAAAAGACAACAAATGCATTTATTATTAGGCAGTAACTAACTCATTTTCAATGACAAAGATAAGGTTGTTCTTCCTCAACTGACCCAACTGCCTATTCTCAAAGAAAACCATGATCATCCCAAGCAAGAAGCTTTAGAATAACCCCAAACTGACCTTTCACTTTGACTCTGTATTTACCATGCTACCTCATCATGACACTACTCTCCTTCCTGTATTTGTCCTTTCCCATTCCATTCTCGTCACTGTCATTTTCATCTTTCTTGGGCTAGAATAACACCTGAAAAGTTCTCTTTCCCAGTACTTTCTTTTGCTTAACTGCCATTTTGACACCATCACACCCCCCCATAGGCCCTGAAGCCCTGTGACATCTTCCCAACACAATTTCTGCTTCTCCCCACCCTCTCAAACAAGCCTGCTCAGCCCCCTTTGTGCCATCGGCCCACTCTCACCTTGGTCTCAACTTGGAGCCTTTTAAGCATCCCCAGGCCCATAAATTCCTTCTTGCCACATGAGATCATATGGTTCTTAAGAGCTCTTAGAATGTGTCCTGCTGTATCTTAAGAGCTCCTAAAATGTGTTATCCATGTGATTTTCTCTACAAATCTTCCTCTAAGCAGAGAATGTGTTGGCTTTACCTTGCTTAGTAAAAACAAACCAATTAAAGTATTTACCTTTAACCAGTATCTAAGGTATGTACCACTGATATAATAAAAATTGCTGGCCGGCCACAGTGGCTCACACCTGTAATCCCAGCACTTTGGGAGGCCGAGGCAGGCAGACTGTTTGAGCTCAGGAGACCAGCATGGGCAACATAACAAGACCCCGTCTCCACAAAAAATACAAAAGAATTAGCTGGGTGTGCTGGCTTGTGCCTGTAGTCCCAGCCACTCCAGAGGCTGAGGCAGGAGGATCACTTGAGCCTGGGAGGCAGAGGTTGCAGTGAGCCGAGGCTGCACGCTACTACACTCCAGCCTGGGTGCTACAGTAAGACCTGTCCCAGTAAATAAATAAATAATTGCCATTTATTTAGCAATCTATATATGTTAGTCACTGTGTGGTTTTACCTGTAACTCAATTAATGAATGAGGGGGAAAAATTAATGTAATTTTTTCCAAAAGTCCAAATTTTCCAAAAGTCACTCCTCTAGGACAAGTTGGAGCTGACATTCTGTAACTCCAATTCTTCTGATTCTAGAGCCCATAACCCTTTCTTTCACTGTACCACAAAATTAGGCAAGGAAGATCCAAATGCATATTTTTGAAAATCCTGACACACACTTGGGTCAGATCTCTAATAACTGTAGCTATCAATTATTGCCATGCCTCACACATGTGACACACTATCAGGTGCTTTACACAAATGTTAATGCATTTCATCCTTACCATGATCTAAGAAATGTTAGTAATCCTTTTTGTAAATGGAGACTCAGAAGTTAAACAAGCAAAATATTCATGGTAAACAATGAGATAAGATATATAATATGCCCACTGCAAAACCCAGTCTGTATTTCCCAATCTGTGACATTGGGAAGCATTTTAGAAAGGAATCTTGAGGAATCTTGCTAGAATTTAGTTGACTGCTTGTACCTAGATATATCTGTAACACCTGTATCGTTTGTTTTGTGTATGTGCAAATGTGGGATCTTCCTAAGTGTATCAAGCATAAAGATCTGCTCAGTGACTTAATATTTCATACTCTATGTCCTGTTTGCACATGGGCAGAGCCTATATTTTTCTCAGTGGCTAAAAGTTATCTTAGTGTAATAGGACTTCAGAATAAAATGAAGTGTAATGAAGGTGCTGGCTTCCTCCCTGACTTGGGAGATCAGAAGAGTCTGAAAGCAACTCAGAATTCGCAAGTCAGTTCCTTGTCTAGAAGGAAAGAAACCCACAAGAATGCTGCATATCTAAAAAGATTGCTTTCTGGGTGTCAAAACTCATATTAGCCATGTAAGCCATAAAAAATATCCACCTTGAATCATGACCAAATACATGCAGGCAAAAACTAGGGGGATAAATTTGTAACTATTACATTTCCTGGCCAGGCGCAGTGGCTCACGCCTGTAATACCAGCACTTTGGGAGGCCGAGGTGGGCGGATAACGAGGTCAGGAGATTGAGACCATCCTGGCTAACACAGTGAAACCCCGTCTCTACTAAAAATACAAAAAAATTAGTCGGGCGTGGTGGTAGGCACCTGTAGTCCCAGCTACTCAGGAGGCTGAGGCAGGAGAATGGCGTGAACCTGGGAGGCAGAGATTGCAGTGAGATCGCACCACTGCACTCCAGCCTGGGCAACAAGCGAGACTCTGTCTCAAAAAAAAAATTTCCTAAAAAATTTAAAAGATGATATCCCATCTGGTTAGGTTAGGCTAAAGCTGGTACAAAAAAAAAAAAAAAAAAAAAAAAAAAGCACCATAAATGATTATGACTCTTGGAAAAGAAAACTGGTAATAAAACAGTCAACCAAACAAAAAAACAAAATACCAACATATTCACTCCAGTAATATGTATTAGAAGAAAAAACTGGCAACAACCTATTTGAAAATTGATTAAACAAATTATGGTATATCCACTCAAAGAAATAGTACATAATCATTTTAAACAATTGCAAAGACTCTAGCACCATAGAAAATTACATAGTATCAGATGAAAAGAGCAGCTCACGTAAACTTATACCTGTGCTATGATTATAACTATCTGAAAATGAGGCATTCATTTAGTCCCAGGCCAAAGGGAATAATGGAGAAAAAAGGAAAACTTCTGGACTATCCAAGATGGCAGTGTTGTGGAAGTATTTTTTCCCCTTTTCATTTCTATTTACATTAATTTTTGTGTAGGAAATAATCACTTTTTTTTTTTTTTTTTGAGACAGAGTCTTACACTGCACTGCTGGAGTGCAGTGGTGCAATCTTGGCTCACTGTAGCCTCTGCCTCCCAGGTTCAAGCAATTCTCCTGCCTCAGCCTCCCAAGTAGCTGAGATTACAGGTGCCTGCCACCACGTCCGGCTAATTTTTGTATTTTTAGTAGAGACAGCATTTCGCCATGTTGGCCAGGCTGGTCTTGAACTCCTGACCTCAAGTGATCCACCTGTCTTGGCTTCCCAAAGTGCTGCGATTACAGGGTGAGCCACAGTGCTCAGCCAAAATGTCATTAACCTCATTTAAAAATTACAACCCTTAGGCCGGGCGCGGTGGCTCACACCTGTAATCCCAGCACTTTGGGAGGCCGAGGCGGGTGGATCATGAGGTCAGGAGATCGAGACCATCCTGGCTAACAAGGTGAAACCCCGTCTCTACTAAAAATACAAAAAATTAGCCGGGCGCGGTGGCGGGCGCCTGTAGTCCCAGCTACTCGGGAGGCTGAGGCAGGAGAATGGCGTGAACCCGGGAGGCGGAGCTTGCAGTGAGCCGAGATTGCGCCACTGCAGTCCGCAGTCCGGCCTGGGCGACAGAGCGAGACTCCGTCTCAAAAAAAAAAAAAAAAAAAAAATTACAACCCTTGAACTATCTCAACAGTATCAGAGCTTTATCTGTTCCTACTGACAGCAAAGTGCTGCTCTGCCCAAGGGAAAGAAATAGAGGCACAGGGGACCCCACAAGTCAGAAGCAGGAGGGAAGGGAGGAGCCTGCCAGACAGGACCTCTACTTCAGGAAACCTGGTGCCAATGCCACACACAGGGTTGTTGGACACCACAGTGCCCAGGCAAGTGTGCACACAGGGTCACTAGCTCAAAATTATTTTTTGAGAATCAGGCCTAAAGTCAGCTGAATTCCAACCCACAGTCGGCAGGCCTATTATTAGGCATAATTTCAAACAGCCAAGAGGCTGCAAGCATCCTATATCCACCACATGCTTCTGTAACTCTGCAAGGAGATGCTATAAATCTGCTCCTGAGCAGACCAAAGGCACCTGGGCCCTATCCTGGCCCCACCCCCACTCCATGGCTATCTGTCTTATTTTCACAGGGGCATCCCAAGATCACTTCAGATGACCACATATGTGAGCAGGATGGCCAAACAGTTCCCAAAAAGGGGGCAGGAGAAGGGTGGGAGCAGGACATCTCTGGGGCTAGCTAGAGGCTCCTGTGGGATTTTCTTAAATGCTGAGCGTAGGGGCTTCTGAGATGTCATTGAATATATTTTTTCATTCAAAGGTTGTATTAATACATAATTTCTAAACCTTCAGAGGCAAAAGGGAGGTAATTAGTGTTGCCACTTATAGGCTAAAAGGATGTTCCATTTTATAATTCATTCAAATATAATTTTGAGGCCGGGCCTGGTGGCTCAAGCCTGTAATCCCAGCACTTCGGAAGGCTGAGGCAGGCAGATCACACCTGAGGTCAGAAGTTCAAGACCAGCCTGGCCAACATGGTGAAATGCTGTCTCTACTAAAAATACAAAAACTGGCCACATACGGTGGCGGAAACCTATAATCCCAGCTACTCAGGAGGCTGTGGCAGGAGAATCGCTTGAACACAGGAGGTGGAGGTTGCAGTGAGCCAAGATCACGCCACTGAACTCCATCCAGCGTGGGTGACAGAGTGAGATTCTGTCTCTTAAAAAGAAATAATAATAAAACAAACAAATACAATTCTGAATTAAAATTCAAAAGATATCAATGACCAATCCAAAGCAGAAGTGGGCAAAAGCTATATGAAAATTAGAGACTTCACTGAACAACCCAAAAAAGCTCAAAACAAAAGGAAAGAAACAAACTAGCAGAACAAATGGTATAGCTAGATAAAAAGGGCTAGTATTGTAAAGACGTTAAGTCTCCACATATTAGTTTATAAAATTCTAATAGGTTCCAGTCAAAATCTCAATAGGATATTAAAAAATAATTTTTAAGACTGGGCGTGGTGGCTCACGCCTGTAATCCCAGCACTTTGAGAGGCCAAGGCAGGCAGAACACACGAGGCCAGGAGTTCAAGACCAGCCTGGCCATTACAGTGAAACCCCGTCTCTACTAAAAATACAAAAATTAGCTGGGCATGGTGGCACATGCCCGTAATCCTAGCTACTCGAGTGGCTGAGGCACAAGAATCACTTGAACTCTGGAGGCTGCAGTGAGCTAAGATCGTTCCATTGCACTCCAGCCTGGGAGACAGAGCAACAGCCTCTCTCAAAAAAAAATAGTAATTTTAAATTACTTCAAATGTACAGAAAAGTGCAAAAATAGTTCAAAGGGCTCACATACCCTCTTTCAACGAGATTCTCCAACTGATGCTTTACCTCATTTGCTCCATTATCTTTTCCTGACCCCTTTGAGAGCAGGCTGAAGGCATGAAGCTCCATTGTTGCTCAATACTCTAGTGCGTTATTTCCAAAAACAAGGACATTCTCCTCCATAACCAGCATACAAGCCTCCACATCAGGAAATCAACACTGATACTACACTCTCAATCCAATCCATAGACCCCATTTGAATTTTGTCAGCTGTCCCAACAATGTCTTTCCTTTCTAGTCCAGGAGTCTACCCCAGAGCTACATCTCACCAGTGTCAATCAATCTGGAATAGTTCCCTTTTCTCTTCCTGACTTCCATGTCCCTGCCAGAGTACAGTCTTTTCATTTTGCAGGATAACCCTCAATCTGATCTGTATTTCCTCGTGACCAGACTCAGGTCATGCTTCCTTAGCGGCAATACCAGACACATGGTGCTGTATTCTTCCCAGGACATTGCATAAGAAGAAGACTGATGGCAACCCATCCCACTACTGCTGATATTTACCACATTCACCTGGTCAAGCTTATTAGAGATGTAGTGTCTCAGGCCCCACAGACCTACAGGATCAGATTCTGCATGTTAACAAGGTCACTAGCAAGTCACACATATGTTACTGTTTGTGAAGTACCAGTGAAAGGTCTTATAAAAAGTAAGAGCCACATGGGGAAGTTCAGATTTTATTAGAAGCCTTTGGAGGGTTTTAAACTATAGAGTGGCATGATCTGGTTTCAGTTCTTAAATGGCTCCTCTGGCTGTTTTGTGGAAAACAGACCAGGGGAGGGGCAAGGACAGAGCAGGGAATTAGTTAGTTGGTAGTCTGGTTAAGGGACGTTGGCTGCATGGGTGAATGTGGTGTTGATGGAGGTAGTGACACACAGTCAAAACGGACACAGTCTGAAGTCAGAGCCAACAGAAATTGCTAACGGATCAGAAGTGGACATGAGAGTCATAACAACAATGATAAACAGCAGCAGCCAACACTAGTTAAACACAAGCCATGTGCCAGCCACTGCTCCATGTCTTTTCAGGTGAAAATTCATTCAACTGTCACAATAATCCCAAGAGGTACAAGTGACAACCCCACTTTATTCAAATGAAGACAACATGGTAGAGAGAGGTTGTGTAGCTGCCCAAGGCCTCAGATCTGAGCTTAGGCAGTGACTGGGGAGCTTGTACTCCATTCACCATCCCTTACAGAACAACTGCAAACACTGCACCATTTGTGAAGAGGAACGAGGCTGGTAAAGGGAATCAAGAGTGCTTTGCCAAACATGGCAACACGCGATTCCCATTGCACATCCACATGGAAACAGCAGGGAGACAGCCAATGCGACAGGATCTCCAAGGAAAGGTGGAGTAGAGATAAAAATGGGAAGGTCATTAGCACAGAGGTAGTATTTAAAGCCAACAGAGTAGATGAGATCACCCAGAGCAGTTTTTCAAACTGCAGGCTGTGAAATCAATTTAGTGGGTCATGAACAGCACTTAAAAAAAAATGAAATAGAGCAGAATGGAAAATAACAGAGTCCACGGCTCATGAAGTATAAGAACCGTTTTGTGAAACTTTTGTTTCTGTTGTGTCTGTGTGCACAAGACGGTGTAGTGTGTTTGTACTTGTCCGGCATTTGGTATGGCTGAACAAAAAGATTTAAAACCACTGGTCTAGAGGCTAACTTGGAGTGACTGATCCCTGCAATCACTCTATCATTTAGAAGGTGGAGAAGAGGAAAAGAAGCCAGAAAAGGAGAGTGAAGAAGTAGGAAGGAGGAAAGGCAGTGGGGGGGTCCCAAGCAAATGTGACATGTTGGACATCCAACGTGCTGGTGAGAGTCATGCAGTATGATCACAGCAGAGATGTCCATAATTATGGAATGGCAAGGTAAGCACACAGCTGTGGGAGCAGAGGGGCACCTAACCTGTTTAAACTTAGCACAGAATAAAAAAGGGAAGGAGAGAGGTGATATTAGGATTTTATTTGAGATCTAAGTTTAAGGGAACGGCAGGATATCCAGTCTGTAACTTCCATAAACAGCAAATATCCAATCATTCTTTTATTGTTGTTTTTAAGCATCTACTATGTGCTGGGCTGTTTACTAGACCTGGGAAAATAACTAGGACACTGTTCTATCCTGAAAAGCCTCAAACTGCAAGAGAGTAACGCAGGTACAGTACAGTGAAGAGAGAGGGTCAGAAGATAGGGTGCGTAACAACAGGTTTGTTGAAGGCCACGGCAATTTTCCTTTCCAACCATACTGCTCACTATTGGCCAAACCCACCACTCCACACAGACCATGCGCTCCGACCTCTTGATTTGTGCTTGGCCTCTCCCCAAAACACTTTCCAAATCTGAGTCATTCCTCAAGGCCATTTGGCTTCCTCACTGAAGGCTTCAGGAAAACGGCTCAGCTTGGTGATCTTGCCTTCCCCAAACAGCTACAGCACTTCTTGTCCATACACCATTACCTGGTGGCTGTGTCCTTATTTCCCCACTTGGTATGAATGCCTTATCTCCCCAGCTGAGCCATGTATTGTTGAAGGCATGTAACAAACATGTCTCACATCTACAAGGTCCTCAAACAGCAGCCAAGCAAACACTTGTTGCTCTGCTACTAGACTTCCCTCCAATCCAGCTTGCATTTCAGCATCTTACTGAAAAAGATCTGATTAATTCACCCCCTATTTTAAAACCTTCACTGGCTCCCAATTATTAGTACAGCACATGCAGACTTGTCTTCCAGGTGTACCACACAGCTTTCCCTTCCCTGCCTCCCAAACACCTTAAAGTTGAAGCAACAGCAATAAAAATAGTCACGTGCTACATAACACATTTCTGTCAACAATGACCACGTACACAATGGTGGTCCCATCAGAGTACAATGGAGCTGAAAAACTCCTATTGCCTGGTGATGCTGTAGCTGTCATAATGCAACATATTACCTCCTTGTTTATGGTCATGCAAGTGTAAACCTAATATACTGCCAGTGGTATAAAAGCATAGCACATACAACTATGTACAGTACATAATACTTGAAAATAAACTATGTTACTGGTTTACATATCCTATGTAGAATTCTATGTTATGTATACTATGTATTCTACTTATAAAAATAGTTAACTAAAGCTGGGTGTGGGAGCATGTGCCTATAAGTCCTAGCTACTCAGGAGGCTGAGGCAGAGAATCGCTTGAACCTGGGAGGTGGAGGTTGCAGTGAGCCGAGATCATGCCACTGCACTCCAGTCTGGGCGACAGAGAGAGACTGTCTCAAAAAAAAAACCAAAGCAAACAAACAAAAGACACTGTTATCATAGGAGATGATAGCTCCATGTGTGTTACTGACCCTAAAGACCTTCCAGTGGGCCAAGATGTGAAGCTGGAAGACAGTGATATTGATTATTCTGACCCTGTGTAGGTTTAGGCTAATGCATGTGTTTGTGTCTTAGTTTTTAACAAAAGTGTTTAAAAAGTGAAAAAATAAAAAATAAAAAATATTTAAATATGGCTCGGTGAGGTGGCTCACGTCTGTAATCCCAGTACTTTGGAAGGCCAAGGTGGGTGGATCACATGGGGTCTGGAATTCCAGACCAGCCTGGCCAACACGGTGAAACCCCGTCTCTACTAAAAAAAACACAAAAATTAGCCAGGTGTAATGGCGTGTGCCTGTAGTACCAACTACTTGGGAGGCTAAGGCAGGAGAATCGCTTGAACTCGCGACATGGAGGCTGCAGTGAGCTGAGACTGCACCATTCCACTCCAACCTGGGCGACACAGCAAGACTCTGTCTCAAATAATGATAATAAATAGAAAAAAAAGCTTATAAAGTGGCTAGGCCTGGTGGCTCACACCTACAATTCCAGAACTTTTGGGAGGCAGAGGAGAAAGGATTGCTTGATGCCAGGAGTTTGAGACCAGCCTGGGCAACATAGCATGACTCCAGCTCTATAAAAACTAAAAAAACGTAGCCAAGCACGGTGGTATGCACCTGTAGTCCTAGCTACTCAGGAGGCTTAAGTGAGGGTTGCTTGAGCCCAGGAGTTTGAGGTTACAGGGAGCTATGACTGTGCCACTGCACTCCAGCCTGGAACAGAGTAAGACCTTATCTCTAAGAGTAATTAATAATAATCATAAAAAAGTTTATAGAATAACACAATGACAGAAAATATTTTTGAACAGCTGCACAATGTATTTGTGGTTTAAGCTAAGTGTTATTACAAGAGTCAAAAGGTTACAAATTTTTAAAGTTTTTAAAGTAAAAAAGTTACAGTAATCTGGCCAGGGACTGGTGGCTCATGCCTGTAATCCCAGCATTTTGAGAGGCCCAGGCGGGTGGATCACAAGGTCAGCAGATCAAGACCATCCTGGCTAATACGGTGAAACCCCGTCTCTACTAAAAATACAAAAAATTAGCCAGGTGTGGTGGCGGGCACCTGTAGTCCCAGCTACTCGAGAGGCTGAGGCAGAAGAATGACGTGAACCCGGGAGGCGGAGCTTGCAGTGAGCCAAGATCAAGCCACCGCACTCCAGCCTGGGCGACAGAGAGAGACTCCGTCTCAAAAAAAAAAAAAAAAAAGTTACAGTAATCTAAGGTTAATAATATCAAAACAAGAAAACTTTAAAAAATAAATTTAGTGTAGTCCAAATGTACAGTGTTTATACATCTACAGTAGTGTGCAGTAACGTCCTGGGCCTTTACCTTCATTCACCATTCACTCACTGACTCACCCAGAACAACTTCCTTATCTTTTATACCTTATTTTTACTGTACCTTCTCTATGTTTAGACATATGCAGATACATACTTACCACTCTTTTACAATCTCCTACAGCATTCAGTACAGTAACATGCGGTACAGGTTTGTATCCTAGGAGCAATAGGCTATACCACATAGCCTAGATGGGCAGTCGGCTACACCCAGGCTAGGTGTGTGTAAGTACATCCTAAGATGTTAGAACAACGACAAAAATCACTCAATGATGCACTTCTTAGAAATATTCTGTTGTTAACTGAGGCATGATTGTACCAAAACAAAAAAAAAACAACGTACCACCAGCACCAAAGGTGCCAGAGATGAAAATTAGAAAGACGACTGATATTCATTCAACTGCTGACAACAGATGTTTTGGGGGTGGGATTACAGGGCATAGTCATCTTTCAGCAACTAGTTCGATCGGCCGGGCGCAGTGGCTCACGCCCGTAATCCCAGCACTTTGGGAGGTCGAGGCGGGCGGATCACGAGGTCAGGAGATCGAGACCATCCTGTCTAACACGGTGAAACCCCATCTCTACTAAAAAAAATACAAAAAAATTAGCACGGCGTGGTGGCGGGCACCTGTGGTCCCAGCAACCCGGGAGGCGGAGCTTGCAGTGAGCCTAGATCGTGCCACTGCGCTCCAGCCTGGGCAACAGAGCAAGACTCCGTCTCCAAAAAGAAAAAAAAAAAAAAAAACTAGTTTGACCAACATGCTAATTTTAAAACAAATAAAATTTAAAAGAAAACAATAATTGCAACTACTTTTATTGAGTGTTTAAATTATGTGCAATGCAATATTTTTTGTTTGTTTTGAGACAGAGTCTCCCTCTGTCGTCCAGGCTGGAGTGCACTGGTGCAATCTCGGCTCAGTGCAACCTCTGCCTCCCTGGTTCAAGCAATTCTCCTGCCTCAGTCTCCCAAGTAGCTGAGATTACAGGCTTGTGCCACAATACCCGGCTAATTTTTGTATTTTTAGTAGAGGCGAGGTTTTAACCATGTTGGCCAGACTGGTCTCGGACTCCTGACCTGAAGTCATCCACCTGCCTCGGCCTCCCAAAGTGCTAGGATTACAGGTGTGAGCCATCACACCCAGCTGCAATGCAATATATTATAGTCTCATTTAATCTTAACTCTATTATGCAGTAACTAGCCATTCTGCAGATGAGGAAACAAAGGCTCAGAAAGTTTAGTAACTCTCATAAGGTTATACAGCCAGTCAGTAAGGAAGACAGGCTGGGACTAACAAGGAATGTGCCCTAACTTCTACTGTTCTTAGCAATGTTCTGTGTATTCCCAGCACACCCAGCAGGCACCTTCTGCACCTTTTCGTTTGTTCAGCCTGGTCCTTCTGCGTGAATAATACCAGCTTTGCTGACATACCACTCACCTTTCAAGTCCAGTGCAAATCGCACTTTTCCCTTAACACCTTCCTAGAACACAAGCCATGATAAGCATTACCAGAGTTATCTACCCTTCTATTTCCCCCACAGCGTGGGACCTTAGTTCTCTTACTGCCACGCACAGAGCAAGCAATCGAACACTGGGTGAATTAAGTTGACAATATAAATTCTCTTTCTGACAAATGTAAAGGTAACAGATGAAGACCAAAAGTTTTAATCTGTGAGGAAAATTAATACCAAGAAAGGGTTTCCATAATCCCTACCTGCATTCTCTGCTCTGAACCTCACCTCTCACTGAGGCATAAGGAAAGGCAGGTTAATTTTCACCTCTTCCAAAAAGTGGCTTTACATAATAAATCCCACTTCTGAAGAATAAAAGCTACCTAACTTGTTATTAAAAATGTAAGCAATGAGAATAAAAAGGTTTCTTTAGAGTTTTTAAAATTACTTTCAATGCCTCTAGCCCTTGAAAGAAAGCACTTAAGTTTAGTACAAACAAAATGTAAAAACATGAAAACTTACTTTCCCTATACATAAACATGGAGACACAAAACCAGTGAAACAGACACGTTTAAAATTCAAAATGCTCTTAACTGACCACATCCTAATTTACGAGCAGAAGTCGAGTCCAAACAAAAACACACTGTAAAACAAAAGTGCTGGCTAACAACCTTAGAAAGAAAATATAGGAGGGGACAAACAGATTTTAATGTGTCCTTGGCCTTCCTGAGCAAAGCAATGAGAAATGCAGTCAACCAAAGCATTTAGACTTGATTTTACTGGACGTACCAACACCATAGGTCAACCTGTCAAATGAAGCAAAAAGCAGAACCGAGTTCTATGGGTTTAGTCCCCTCCAGATAAAAGCCAATGAACCTTTTTACAGTTTATGGGGTCCTCTCCATATGGCTGGGGATGCAGGCATGGGAGGAATATTGTCTGGACGATTAATTCCTGTGAAATGAACACAGGAGTTAGGAGGAGCGGAGGTGAGTCAACACACTCTACACTTCCACGGTTGCCTCAAACTCACCACAATTCCAAAATACCAAGAAACAATGTGCTAGTTCTTGCTTTTTTTAAGTGTCCATAAGCTAAAAGTCCTTCTGAAGATTGAGCGTCCCACTTAAAAGCCCAAACCAAAAAATAGTTTGCAGGATTATTTCAAATATATTAAAAACATCAAAATGCTAACTCCAAACTAAGGTGAAATAGTTACATCTAAGTATCCAAGAAGAGCATCAAGAATTAGCAAATTAATTTAGGGTCAGAAAACCTAATAATTAGGGTCAGAAGAACAAAAAGATCATTTCGGTAGCATAAGAACTTTGTGCCGGGTGCAGTGGCTCACGCCTGTAAATCCCAGAACTTTTGGAGGGCAGGGCAGGCGGATCACGAGGTCAGGAGTTCAAGACAAGCCTGGCCAACATGGTGAAACCCCACCTCTACTAAAAAAAATACAAGAATTAGCCAGGCATAGTGGCGCATGCCTGTAGTCCCACATACTCGGGAGGCTGAGGCAGGAGAATTGCTTGAGCCCAGGAGACAGAAGTTGCAGTGAGCCGAGATCGTGCCACTGCACTCCAGTCTGGCCAACAGAATGAGACTCTGTCTCAAAAAAAAAAAAAAAAAGAACTTTGTAAATGTCTGTCGCTCTAGACCTTATTTTAGGGTGCAAGCCATAACTATGATAAGGAGGGTGCCATGTATAAATGTAACAGACACTGAGACAAAAGAAAACTACTCCTGACAGCAGTTTGCTGTCTTTCCCAAGAGATTTGAGGAACAGTAACCATAAAACTTTCCTCCTCCCTTCTCAACTGGGGACTTCTCTGATGTAATATCAGGGAGAAGAACAAGGGAACATTGGGTATCAACTGGTGCACACCATCTCTCTCCTGAAGTGACAGAAAGAACATTGAGTAGTACTATCTTACCTAGAGTCAAACTAAATGACTTGAACAAAGAGACCAAGAAAAACATGTTTAGAAAATCATCTAGAAATAGGATTTTATTTTAGTAAGCGAAGTGAACAAAAAATACAATTTTATTTGTACATACAATTGCTTCCACTATTAAATTTGTTTTCTATTGATTCTTCTGGGTCATCTGTTGGAAAAAGTACTACATTTAGAATTAAGAAATCTAAATACTTCCTAGTCTTGCCACTTGTTCTGTGACTTGGGCAAGTTATTTAACCCATATGTCTCACATTCTTCACCTGCAAAAGTGGAGTTAACCTACCTTGCCACCACACGGGAATGTCCCACAGTAAGTCTGCAAACAGCTAAGTACCATATAAATCAAAATTATCACTGTTAGAATTACCACCCTCTTTCCCTCTCTCAGGTAAAAACTTGAACCAATAATAAAATAAGTAAAAGACACCAGACATGGTGGCTCACGCCTATAATCCCAGCACTTTGGGAGGCCGAGGCAGGCAGATCACTTGAGGTCAGGAGTTCAAGATCAGCCTGGCCAACATGGTGAAACCCTGTCTCTACCAAAAATACAAAAATTAGCTGGGCATGGTGGCAGGCACCTGTAATCCGAGAATCACTTGCTTGTACACCCAGGAAGCAGAGGTTGCAGTGAGCCGAGATCTCACCACTGCACACTCCAGCCTGGGTGACAGTGAGATTCCACTTCAAAAAAACAAACAAAAACAAAAACAAAAAAACAAGTAAAAGACAACAAGGAAAAAAATGGAAAAGAGGTTATCAAACAAACAAAATAAACCCTAAAAAACACAATAAATAACTACTGATTGGTGTAACAGCACTCTGTGACAGGTAATTTTTGTCATTCTCGAGTTAGGAAAGATCCCACACCCTGGGATCTACAGTCCATTCATAGAAATCACAGCAGGGTTAAATCCTCATCAATCCTCTAATTCACAATGAAGAATGCCGACGGAGCGCATTCTTAATCTATATGGCAAGAACTACAAGCCACAGGACCAATCCCCACCCTCCCCACAGAGGGACAGTGGCCTGACAGTTGGAGCTCTACTTGGAGGCAGATGGCCTCTAAAGTGCAAGAGTTTTCCCTTCTTCCCTGACCACTGGCATGCAATTAGCAAACACCCTAACCCCAGTCATTCTGAAATAAGCCAATGGAGAGTCACCTGCAATCCTAAATTTTGAAAATAAAAAAGTCAAAGAGACACAAACATTCTATGAAAAATCAGCCACAAGCATAACATTGCAGGTATTGTGGGTCTGGTTCCAGACCGTGGCAATAAAGCGAGTCACACAAATTTTCTGGTTTTCCAGCACATATTAACTTTTATATGTGTACGCTATACTTCAGTCTACTAAGTGTGAAATGGTATTATGTCTAAAAGACAATGTTCATACCTTAATTTAAAAAATACTTTATCGTTAAAAAATGCTAACAATCATCTGAGCCTTCAGGGAGTCCTAATCTTTTTGCTGACGGAGGGTCTTGCCTCCATGTTGATGGCTGCTGACTAATTAGGGTGGTGGTTGCTGAAGGCTGAGGTGGCTGTGGCAAATTTCTTCAAATAACACACCCATGAAGTCTGACGCATCGACTGGCTCTTCCTTTTCTAAGAGATTTTTCTATAGCATGCCAAACTGTTTGATAGCATTTTACCCACAGTGGAACTTCTTTCAAAACTGCAGTCAGTTCTCTTCAACCCCGCCACTGCTTAATCAACTACGTTTATGTAATATTCTAAATCTTTCATTGGCATTTCAACAATGTTCACAGCATCTTCATCAGGAGTAGATTCCATCTCAATAAATCACTTTCTTTGCTCATCCATAAGCAGCAACTCCTCATCTGTTCAAGTTTTATCATGAGATTACAGCAATCCAGTCACATCTCCAGGCTCCACTTTTAATTCGAGTTCTCTTGCTATTTCTACCACATCTGCAGTTCCTGCCTCCACTGAAGTCCTGAACCCCTCAAAGTCATCCATGAGGGCTGGAATCATCTTCCAAACTCCTGTTCATGTACTGACCTCCTCCCATGAATCACAAATGTTCTTAATGGCATTTAGAATGGTAAATCCTTTCCGAAAGGTTTTCAATTCACTCTGCCCAGACCCACTAGAGGAATTATTATGTATAGCAGCTAGAGCCTTATGAAACATATTTCTTAAATAAGACTTGAAAATCAAAATGATTCCTTGATCCAGGGGCTGCAGAATAGATGTTGTGTTAGCAAGCATGAAAACAACATTTATCTCCTTATACATTTCCATCAGAGCTCTTAGGTGACCAGGTATACTGTCAAGAAGTAATATTCTGAAAGAAATCTTTTGAGTAGTAGGTCTCAACAGTGGCCTTAAAATATTCATTAAACCATTCTGTAAACAGATGTGCTGTCATCTAGGTTTTGTTGATCCACTGACAGAGCACAGGCAGAGTAGATTTAGCATAAATTTATGGGCCCTAGAATTATTAGAATGGTAAATGAGCACTGGCATCAACCTAAATTCACCAGCTACACCAGCTCCTAATAACAGTCAGCCTGTCTTTTGAAGCCAGGCACTGACTTCTCCTAATTATGGAAGTCCTAGATGGCATCTTTTCTGACATAAGGCTACACTGAATATCTGTTCAATATAGCCACCTTCATCAGTGATCTTGGCTACATCTTCTAGATAACTTGCTGCAGCTTCTACATTAGCACTTGCTTCAACTTGCATTTTAATGTTACAGAGATGGTTTCAAGAACTTTAGGAACCAATCTGTGCTAGCTTCAAACTTCACTTCTGCAGCTTCTTACTTTTTTCAGCCTTCACAGAAGTGAAAAGAGAAAGTCTTGCTCTGGGATTAGGCTCTGGCTTAAGGGAATGTTGCGGCTGGTTGATTTTCCATCTGAGTCACTAAAACTTTTCCATATCAGCAATAAGCTGTTTCGTTTTCTTCTCATTCATGTGTTCACTGGAGTTGTACTTTTAACTTTCTTCAAGAACCTTTTCTTGCATTCATAACTTGGCCACGTTTGGTGCAATAGGCCTAGTATTCAGCCTATCTTGGCTTTTGACATGCCTTCCTCACTAAACCATCATTTCTAGCTTCTGATTTAAAAGTGAGAGATGTGCAATTCTTCCTGTCACTTGAACATTTAATGGTCATGATCAGGTTATTAACTGACCTAACTTCAATACTGTTGTGTCTGAGGTAACAGAGAGACCTGAGGAGGTGGTGAGATGGGGGGACACCCAGTTGGCAGCAGTCTGAACACACATCTATACACAACATGTATATATTAAGTTCGCCGTCTTATATGGGAGTGCTTTGTGGCGCTCCAAAACAATTACAAAAGTAACATCAGGCCGGGCGCGGTGGCTCACGCCTGTAATCCCAGCACTTTGGGAGGCCGAGGTGGGTGGATCATGAGGTCAGGAGATTGAGACCAACCTGGCTAACACGGTGAAACCCTGTCTCTACTAAAAATACAAAAAAATTAGCCAGGTGTGATGGCGGGCACCTGTAGTCCCAGCTACTCGGGAGGCTGACGCAGGAGAATGGCGTGAACGCGGCAGGCAGAGCTTGCAGTGAGCCGAAATCGCACCACTGCACTCCAGCCTGGGCGACAGAGCGAGACTCCATCTCAAAAAAGAAAAAAAAAAGTAACATCGATGATCACTGATCACAGATCTTCATGACAGATAACAATTTTAAAAGTTTAAGGCTGGGCGCGGTGGCTCATGCCTGTAATCCCAGCACTTTGGGAGGCCGAAGCGGGTGGATCATCTGAGAACAGGAGTTCGAGACCAGCCTAGCCAATACGGAGAAACCCCGTCTCTACTAAAAATACAAAATTAGCAGGGCGTGATGGCGCATGCCTGTAATCCCAGCTACTCGGGAGGCTAAGGCAGGAGAATCACTTGAACCCCGGAGGCGGAGATTGCAGTGAGCCAAAATCACGCCATTGCACTCCAGCCTGGGGAACAAGAGTGAAAATCTCTCTCAGAAAAAAAAAAAAAGTTTAAAATATTCAGGCCAGGTGTGGTGGCTCATGCCTGTAATCCCAGCACTTTGGGAGGCTGAGGCAGGCAGATCACTTCAGGTTAGGAGTTCCAGACCAGTCTGGCCAACACAGTGAAACCCCACCTCTACTAAAAATAAAAATATTAGCCGGGCATGGTGGTGCACACCTGTAATCCCAGCTACTCACGAGGCTGAGGGGGAGAATCGCTAGAACCCAGGAGGTGGAGGTTGTAGTGAGCCGAGATGGCGCCACTTCACTCCAGTGCAGCTCTGGGAGACAGAGCGAGACTCCGACTCAAAAATAAATAAAATAAAATGAATAAAATGTTTAAAATATTGGGAGAATTACCAAAATGTGGCACAAAGACACAAAGTGAGCACATGCTGTTGAAAAATTGGCACCAACAGACTTAGACTTGCTCAATGCAGGGTTGCAATAAACCTTCAATTTATAAAACAAAAAAATCCCACAATATCTGTGAAGTACAATAAAGTAGAATGCAATAAAATGAGGTATCCCTGTATTTCCAAAGCTTCTAGGTGGTAATAATAATAGCTAAAATTTATCTAATCATTACTGTAAGTCTGGCAATGTTCTAAAAGCTTTAGTTATGAACTAATTTAACTGGCACAGCCACCCACGAGGTAGGTACAATTATTATTTCCATTTTCTAGACAACGAAACAGAGGCAGAATAGTCATTTGCTTGACGTCACATTGCAAACAAGGGGCAGAGCTGGGATTCAAAAATCAGGCGACTGGCTGCAGAGATCATGCTCTAGATAGTGAGTCTTAAAGCACCCACCAACCAATACCACCTGGTTTACCCAAACAATTCAGGCATCTTAACAGTGTCACACAGAGACATAAACAATAATACAGTATAATAGTATCACTCACCATATGGTCACTTGTTTCAAGGTTAATGTTAGAATAACATGAGTCCATGAAAATAAGACCTTGTTTTCTGTTTACAGTAATACAGACTAAATAACTGCACAAAAAACTGGATACAATATATATACATCTTTCCAAAAGTAACAAAAATCTAACAAGATAGTGAGATATTACCAAATTAATATCCTGAAAAAGATGGAAATCCAAAGAAAGAGGCAAGACCTGGGGGCATTTGTTGATTTGCCAGTGGAGGCCCAGAAAGTGCCTGGCTCACTCCAAGGCCTTGCATAGGAGATAACTTATAACTCATAACTCAGTAACGCGCTCCTCACCCCAGCGAACCTGTGAACTGAGGCCCCATAGGGCTGCATCCTAGGAGTAAGACTGAAGTAGAAGTAAATAAGCCCTCCCATGGACTCAGCTTCAAACCATCTGGATAGTCCATAAAAAACTCAAATCTTCAACTTTTTTTTTTTTCTGAGACAGAGTCTTGCTCTGTCCCCCCCAGGCTGGAGTGCAGTGGCGCCATCTCAGTTCACTGCGACCTCCGCCTCCCGGGTTCATACGACTCTCCTGCCTCAGCCTCCCAAGTAGCTGGGATTACAAGCACCCGCCATCACGCCCGGCTAATTTCTGTATTTTTAGTAAGGAGGGGGTTTCACCATGTTGGCCAGGCTGGTCTCGAACTCCTGACCTCAGCTGATCTGCCTGCCTCAGTCTCCCAAAGTGCTCTGGGATTACAGGCCTTAGCCAGCGCGCCTGGGCTTCAACTTGTATTAAAATGATCCTCGTTGGCTAGTGCCGTCAGTCACCTGGAAAAAGACATCACACCCAAAGCCTCTAATTATTTCTATAAACAATTTTTCAAATACCATGTCCAGCACACAAACATATGAACAAAGTACCATGAGTAAGAACCATGAGAGGCAGTTATAGATCCAAAGGAACTCCAAATACTGGAGATATCAGGAGACTATAAAAGAATTATATTTAGTATGTTCTAGGAAATAAAAGCGAAGTTTGAAAAATTTAGCAGGGAACAGGAATCCATAAAAAACAATGTAGCAGACTTGAAAAGAATCACAACTGAAAAATACAGTAAGATATTGGTAAGAACTATCCATTGAGTTATTAAATTAAAAGCAGATTAATCGGCTGGCGCGGTGGCTCATACTTGTAATTCCAGCACTTTGGGAGGCTGGGGCAGGTGGCTCACTTGAGGCCAGGAGTTGAAGACCAGCTTGGCCATCATGGTGAAACTCCATCTCTACTAAAAGTACAAAAATTGGCCAGGTGTAGGGGCACACACCTGTGGTCCCAGCTACTCGAGAGGTTAAGGCACAAGAACTGCTTGAACCCAGGAGGCAGAGGGTGCAGTGAGAGCCAAGATCGTGCCACTGCACTGCACCCCAGCCTGGGCGAAAGAGTGAGACTCTTGTCTCAAAAAAACGCAGATTAGTCAAAGAGAAGACTGATTAACTGAAAACAGGTCAAAGTAATCTACCCAGAATGAAAAATAGAAAAGAAAAAAAACACTTGTAATGGATGCCATTTAATCCCAGCACTTTAGGAGGCTTAGGCGGGCAGATCAGGAAGTCAGGAGATCGAGACCATCCTGGCTAACACAGTGAAACCCCGTGTCTACTAAAAATACAAAAAATTAGCCAGGCGTGGTAATAAGTGCCTGTAAGTCCCAGCTACTCGGGAGGCCGAGGCAGAAGAATCACTTGAACCCAGGAGGCGGAGGTTGCAGTGAGCCGAAATCGCACCACCGCACTCCAGCCTGGGCGACAGAGCGAGACTTCGCCTCAAAAAAAAAAAAAAAAAAAAAAAAACAGAAAAGAAAGGGTGACTACAAGGTTGAATGTATCCCTGTATGGGTGGACTCTTAGAATGAGAAGGGAATGGAGGCAAGGCAGTAAGTGAGGAGAAGTATTGGGAATTTTCCAGAACAAATAAGAGATATCACCAAAGAATCAAGAATCTTGGTGAATACAAAACAGATGGTCTCTATTATCTAGAATGTCTTCCAAAAATAACATGAACCTGTTCTGTAAGTATAGTACCACCACAATTAAATATCTATTGTGGTCATATTAGGGGTTATCATAGGGTATACTATATAGACGAACTTACAACACTCTCAGCACGTGAGGAGCTCAAAGTCAAGGATTTAGAAGAGGTATTTTCAACTGTGAAGATCTCTCTACCCGGCCAGGCGAGGTGGCTCACACCTATAATCCCAGCACTTTGGGAGGCTGAGGCACGCGGATCACCTGAGGTCAGGAGTTCAAGACCAGCCTGGCCAACATGGTGAAACCCCATCTCTACTAAAAATACAAAACTTGGCCAAGGGTGGTGGTGGGCACCTGTAATCCCAGCTACACGGGAGACTGAGGCAGGAGAATCACTTGAACCCAGGAGGCAGAGGTTGCAGTGAGTGGAGATCGCACCACTGCACTTCAGCTTGGGTGACAGAGCAAGACTCTGTCTCAAAAAAAGAAAAAAGACATGCAGGAACCTTAAATGATTATTGCTAAGTGAAAGACATGAATCTGAAGTGGCTACATGACTTTAGCTATATAATATTCTGGAAAACACCAAACTGTAAAGTCAGTAGGAAGATCAATGATTACCAAGGATCCAAGGGAAGAGGGGGAAGGATGAATACGGAGAGAGTACAGGTGACTCCTGGGATAGTGAAACAATTCTGTATAATACTGTATTAGCAGATGTAAGACATTATGCATTTGTCCAAACCCACAGAATATACAACAAAGAATGAACTCAAGTCAGTTGCTGTGGCTAGCACCTGTAATCTCACCTGAATCCAGCAGCTCAAGGTTACTGCGAGCTATGATTGTACCACTGCACTGGCTGGCAGAGCAAGACACTGTCTCAAAAAAAAAAAAAAAAAAAAAAAAAAAAAGTCAGGCATGATGGCTCACGCCTGTAATCCCAGCACTTTGGGAGGCTGAGGTGGACTGATCACTTGACGTCAGAAATTTGAGACCAGCCTGGCCAACACGGTGAAACCCTGTCTCTACTAAAAATATAAAAATTAGCAGGCATGGTGGTGGGTGCCTGTAATCCCAGCTACTCAGAAGGCTGAGGCAGGAGAATCGCTTGAACCCTGGAGGTGGAGGTTGCAGTGAGCTGAGATCACACCACTGCACTCCAGCCTGGGCAACAGAGCAAGACTCCCTCTCAAAAACAAACAAAAAAAGGTCAAATATGAACTGGACTTGAGTTAATAATAAAATATCAATACTGTATATCAAGTGTAGCAAATGCACCACACTAATATGAGATATTAGTAATAGTGGAACCTATGGTTGGATTGAGGGAGGGTAAACAGGAACTCTCTTATTGCTCATTTTTTCTGTAAACCTAAAACTGCTCTAAGCAATAAAGTCTACTAACATTTCTCTTAAAAAGTTAATGTATCAGGAAAAATGAACCACAATGACACAGCACTTCATACCCATAGGTATGGCTATAGGAAAGAAAACAAAAAATTACAAGTGTTGGTGATGATGTGGAGAGACTGGAACCCTCACATATTGCTGGTGGGGGCCAGGCACACTGGATCACTTGAAGCCAGGAGTTAGGAGACCAGCCTGGCCAACCATGGTGAGACCCTGTCTATAAAAATACAAAAATTAGACAGGTATGGTGGCACATACCTGTAATCCCAGCTATTTGGGAGGCTGAAGCAAGAGAATCACTCGAGCCCAGTGAGTGAAGCCTGTAGTGATCCACGATCATGCCACTGCCCTCCAGCCTGGGCCACACATGGGAATATAAAATATTCAGCCACTGTGAAAAAGTCTGGTGGTTCTTCAAAAAGTTGAATACAGAATTACACGATCCAGCAACTCCATTCCTAGGTATATACTCAAAATAAGTGAAAACAGGTATCCAAACAAATAGATATACACACATGTTCATAGCAGCACTATTCAAAATAGCCAAAAGGTGGAAACAACCGAAATGTCCATCAACAGATGAACGGATGAACAGATTGTGGTATATACATAAAACTGAGTATGTATTCAGCCATGAAAAGGAATGAAGTACTCATACACAATACAATGTAGATAAATCTCAAAACACTACGCGCTAAGTGAAAGAAGTCAGACATGAAAGGTCACATATTGTACGATTCCATCTAATGAAATATCCAAAAGAAGTAAATCTAAAAACAGAAAGCAGATCGGTGGTTGCAAAGGACTGGCAGAAGAGGGCAAGGGGAGTAACTGCTTAATGGGTAGCAGGTTTACTTTGGGACTAGATACAGGTTGTTATGGGTGCACACATTGTGAATGCAGCAAACGCCACTCGAGTGTTCGCTTAAAAATGATTAATTTTGTCACGTGAATTTCATATCAATTTAAAAAAATCTGGCTGGGCGCAGTGGCTCACACCTGTAATCCCAACACTTTGGGAGGCTGAGGCAGGAGGATCACTTGAGTTCAGGAGTTCAAGACCAGCCTGGACAACATGGCGAAACCCCATCTCTACAAAAAAAAATACCAAAATCAGCTGGGCATGGTGGTGCGCACCTGTAATCCTAGCTACTGGGGTGGTTGAGGCACAAGATTTGCTTCAGCCTGGGAGGCGGAGATTGCAGTGAGCCGTGATCATGCCACTGCACTCCAGCCTGGGCAACAGAGCCGGATCCTGTCTCAGAAGAGAAAAAGAAAAAGAAAAAAAATCTCTAAAAAGGTGTAACTGAGAAGAACCTAGGACATGCAAGAGCAAGTAATTCATTACATAGTCTTCCCCTTTAGTTATCTCCCTTACTCCTTTTTTTCTCTTTGTAGCTGGGACTACAGGCATGCACCACTATGCCCGGCTATTTTTAATTTTGTAGAGACGAGGTCTCACTATGCTGCCCAGGCTGGTCTCCAACACCTGGGTTCAAGTGATCCTCCCACCTAGCATCCCATTGTAGGCGTCAACTACTGTGTCCAGCCTCCTTTACTCCTGTCTCATTCCCATGGCTACTCATCTCGGCCCTGCAAAAACATGAAACGTGGAAGAACAAGATGCTATCTGGGAGGTTTCTAACACTAAATTAAATATTGTTTCTTTGAACACTGACCTACTTCTCCCTTAAGAACTGAGTCCTAGTACTAAAAACTAACCTTTCACCATCATCTTCCTAAAATATTGTGATACCTTCTGCAATGCCCTTTTAAGGGGGTCAAGACAATTCATGTATTCACCCTAAGACAGCTTCCTCCAGCGCGATGTCAACCTTTCTGCCCACCTGCTCAGGACCTCAATTTTGCTAAGATCACTAGCTCTTACTAAGCTTTGGTAGAATTAACCAATGTTTTCTAGCGCCTTTCCCTCTCTATGGCCAATTTTATTTTTAAATTTTATTTATGTATTTTTTGGAGAGAAGGTCTCACTACGTTGCCCAGACTGGTCTCCAACTCCTCGCCTCAAGCAATCCTCCCACCTCAGCCCCTGAATAGATGGAATTACAGGCATGAGCCACCACAGCCAGCTCTATGGTCAAATTTTTACAACGTATTATCAATGATCTAGTTGTCTGTTTCCCACACAATACTGTTGAACACCCTGAGGACAAGTACTAGGACTCATCCCCAAACTCTGAAAAATGGTGCTTCTCAGTCGTTTCCCCATTTGGTTTCTTTTCTTCTACTCTAAAATACTAGACCCAATTTGCTTAATTCTTTTTCTTTTTTCTTTTTTTTCTGAGATGGAGTCTCACTCTGTCACCCAGGCTGGAGTGCACTGGTGTGATCTTGGCTCACTGCAACCTCCACCTACCAGGTTCAAGTGATTCTCTTACCTCAGCCTCCGTGTAGCTGGCGTTACAGGCGCATGCCACCACGCCCAGCTAACTTTCGTATTTTTGGTAGAGACAGGGTTTCGCCATGTTGGCCAGGCTGGTCTTAAACTCTTTACCTCACCTCAAGTGACCCATCCGCCTCGGCCTCCCAAAGTGCTGGGATACAGGCATGAGTCACCAGGCCTGGCCTCAATATACTTAATTCTTTACCTACATTGTTTCTCCTGGCTTCAAAAAGCTTCCTGACCACCAAAACTAATCCTTGGAAAAGGACAAGTCTTCCCTACACCAAAACTAAATACCATTGTTTGCCTTTTTCTCGTACGTGTTTTTCTCTACCTCTAAAATGATTGCTTGTTCATGTGTTCAATGCACCGTAGAGGATACGGCAAGTGCCAATACCATAATCTTGCCCTCAGGGAGGACTGGGGAAGGAGGGCAAGAACACATTTAGAAAGGTATAATAGGCTGGGCACGGTGGCTCACGCCTGTAATCCCAGCATTTTGGGAGGCTGAGGCAGGCAGATCACGAGGTCAGGAGTTTGAGACCAGCCTGGCCAACATGGTGAAACGCCATCTCTACCAAAAATACAAAAATTAGCCAGGCGTGGTGGCGGGTGCCTGTAATCCCAGCTACTTGGGAGGCTGATGCAGGAGAACTGCTTGAACCTGGGAAGCAGGGGTTGCAGTGAGCCGAGATTGCGCCACTGCACTCCAGCCTGGGGGACAGAGCAAGACTCTGTCTCAAAAAATTAAAAAAAAAAAAAAAAGGAAAAAAGAAAGGTATAATAAAAAGCAAAAAGCAAAGATTAAAGGTGCACCAGAAAATTACAAACGTCATGAAGGAAACATCCAGTTAAGGGAATGTTAGATTTCATGGAGAAAAGTAACATTTGAGAAAGGCCTTGAAATATAACTATCTCAAAAGATGGAGAACAGGCTGCACGCGGTGGCTCATACCTGTGATCCCAGCACTTTGGGAGGCCGAGGCAGGTGGATCACCTGAGGTCAGGAGTTAGAGACCAGCCTGGTCAACATGGTGAAATCCCATCTCTACTAAAAATATAAGAATTTGCTTGGCGTGGTGGCAGGCGCCTGTAATCCCAGCTACTCAGGAGGCTGAGGCAGGAGAATGGCATGAACCCGGGAGGCGGAGCTTGCAGTGAGCCGAGATGGTGCCACTGCACTCCAGCCTGGGTGATAGAGCGAGACTCCATCTCAAAAAAAAAAAAAAAAAAGATAAGATGGAGAACAGAAAAGAGGACACGGACCCAGACCTGGAAATAAAGGCACCTCTGGGGACACCGAGCTGCAGCAGAGGATACAACTGGGGAAACCAGGAGATGTGGTTAGAGAGGCAGGGCAGGGTCCTACCATGGAACCCTGAAGACCAAGGCAAGGTGTCTAAATTTAACTCAGTACACAAATGAAAAGGATACGACAAGAGCTACCTTTCAGAAGATTTTCTGGCAGTAGTTGGGAAGACACTAGACCAGGGACTGGGGAAGAAAGGTTACTATTCACGAAGCTACAAGAGCTCAGGCAGGTCCAGCACCATGCTCATTTAAACCACTACCAATCTCTACTTCCACAAGCCTTGACCTGTCTCCTACTTGACTGGTTCCTCCGCATCTCTTCAAGACACCTCTCTTCAATTTCCTCACTTAAAATCACTAACTAGAAAGAAAAAATTAATAGTCTGTTCTACAGAAGTGACTTAAAAAGTGAATATTGTAGACTGATACAACCTTCTGGTTCATAGCCTTTACAACAAATATGTTGGCTCCTACTGTGTGTCAGGCACTACTCTAGGAAACATGGATGCAGACAGGGATGGAGTAGGCAAAGTTTCCATCCCATGGTGCTTACATTTTGTGAAGGAAACAGATACAAGACAAGACTGTCAGATAATTGCTGTGAAGGGAGAACAGGGCTGAGGGAGAGAGCACGTACTCATGTGGGCGCTGCCTGGGCTCAGGTGGGCAGGGAAAGCCTGTCAGTGTGGGGAGAAAGCAGCAGCCACATGGTGTACATTTTTACAAAGTATACATTTTACACTAAAAGGGAGAAACAGGTTTTGAAGCCACATAGAGTTGCATGCCAGCCCTGGCTCTATCACTTGGTGGCTGAGGAACCTCTTCCAAATGAATGAATCTCTCTTCAGTCTGTTTCTTTATCCCCGTTTTACAGATAAAATACTGACTTTATTGGGTTATTCTGAGAGAATTAAATAATGAATATAAAACGTGCACTGTGCCTGGTACTGGGTAAGGGATCTGTAAATATTAACTACTGATTTACTACATCAGTGATTAAATATACATAGAAATTATTTTGCTGCTATATCTAAACACTAGATTTAGCAAAAACTGTCTGCAATCAGTACCAATCATAATCCCAAATGCCATAATCCTGAATGTTAAAATCCCAAAAGACTAAAGTCTAAAAATCCCTAATGTTTAAAACCACAACCCCAAAAGATTAAAATCCCAAATGATGAAATCCCAAAAGCCGAATTTTGGGGCAGGGAATTTGCATAGTTTTGGTTGTACACAATAGTTACACCATGCTAGGTGGAACTATGACCTTGCTATTGTCATTATCTGGAAATTAAGTATGGTTTAAGGAGATGCCTATGGGTACCAAGTTGCCGAGGATAGATTTGTGGACTTAATTTTAGCTATCAACTTGACAGGAACACCTAGAAACCTGGTAAAGCACTGTGTTGTGTGTGTGTCTGTGAGGATGTTTTCAGAGATTAGTGTGCGAGTCTGAGTAGGCAAGGAGAGCCCTCTATGTTGGTGGGTATCATCCAATCAGCCAGGAGCCCAGGGAGTACACAGAAGGTGAATTGCTGAGAGCTAGAACAGACTTTTCTTCTGCTGCCTTGGACATCAGAACTCCAGGCTTGCCAGCCTTTGGACTCCAGGACTTAACCAGTGGCCCCCTGAATTCTGAGGCTTTTTGACCTTGGACCGAGAGATAACACCATTAGCTTCCCTGGTTCTGAGGCCTTTGGATTTGGACTGAGGTATGCTACTGGCATCCCAGGGTCTCAAGCCTGCAGATGATCTGTCATGGGACTTCTCAGCCACCATTAATCATATGAGCCAATTCCCCTAATAAATTCCCTCATATCTATACACATATCCTATTGGTTCTGTCTCCCTAGGGAACCCTGACTAATGCAGATTTGGTGTTGGGGAAGCTGAGTATCAGTTCTTCTTACTTTATTCTTTACAGCACAATTGAAGAGATCTGTGAAACTCTTCCCTCGCAAAAAGGCTCTGATAAGTGTACACGGCTACTTAATGGCGAAAGATAAAAGTTTAAAAGCTAATTATCACTGGTGCTGCAAAAGCAGAAATTGCAACGGCCAGGCAATAATCAGGCTTTCAAATAGACAGTATATACTTACAAAATTTGTGGATCACAACCACTTTGCAAATAAAACTGGAGCAAGTGCTTTGAAGATCGCAGAAGTGAAAATACAGGCAAAAAATACAAGAAATCTCCCCTGCCAAATTATTCAATGGTGTATTATTTCTGCTCCTTCACACATAGTGCCAATTTGCTATGCTATATATTTTATCTTCACATCATTTCTAATACTGGAGATATAAATTGTGTAGAGACTTTTGGAGAGTTCTAATTAATTCTATGCATTTTTTTTTTGCAAACTGAACTCCACAGAAGTGCATTATCACAACACTGACTTCATGTGTAAGCTCTGGCTGTGTTCATCAAAACGTAGAAGCCAGGTGTGGTGGAGCACCTGTAGTCAGTCCCGGCTACTAGGGAGGCTGAGGTAGGAGGATCACTTGAGGCCAGGAGTTTGAGGCTGAAGTGCACTATGATCATGCCTGTGAATAGTCACTGCACTCCAGCATGGGCAACATAGCTAGAAGACTATGGTCTCTTTAAAAAAAGTTGAAACTGGCCAGGCACGGTGGCTCACATCTGTAATCCCAGCACTTGTGAGGCCAAGGCGGGCAGATCACCCAAGGTCAGGAGTTCGAGGCCAGCCTGGCCAATACGGTGAAATCCTGTCTCTACAAAAATTAATAATACAAAAATTAGCCAGGCGTGGTGGCGGGGCGCCTGTAATCCCAGCTACTTGGAAGGCTGAGGCAGGAAAATCGCCTGAACCCAGGAGACAAAGGTTGCAGTGAGCCGAGACCACACCATTGCACTTCAGCCTCAGCAACAACAGTGAAACTCCATCTCAAAAAAAAAAAAAAAAAAAAAAGGTGAACCTTCAATGAGATGTCCTTTTTTTATACTGTTTTTGTGAAAGATAAAATTCAACAATATCTCTGCTCTTCAGGAGACTGCACACACAGTGATGACCCATCCTTGTTTTTACTACCTCATCAAAAGACCTAGTTTGTCCATCATGGTATTTCAGAGGACCACAGTTACAAAATGTAACACCCATGCAACTACGGTTAGTATACTGAGTGATTAAACTTGCAAAATACATTTGTTACTATTTTATTGTGTAAAGTGGTGTACTAGGCTGTTCCTGCATTGCTATGAAGGAATACTTAAAAGAAAAGAGATTTAATTGGCTTACAGTTCTGCAGGCTGTACAGGAGGCATAGTGGCACCTGCTTCCAGGAAGGCCTCAGGAAGCTTCCAATCATGGCAGAAGGCAAAGGGGGAACAGGCACATCACATGATGAGGACTGAGCAAGAGAGAGTGTGAGGTGCCACACTTTTAAAACAGCCAGATCTCGCGAGAAGTCGCTCACCGTCTCGAGGACAGCATCAAGGGGATGGTACTAAACCATTCATGAAAAATCCACCCACATAATCCAATCACCTCCTACCAGCCTCCACTTCCAATATTGGGGATTACAATTCAACATGAGATTTGGGCAGGGACACATATCCAAACTATATTAAGTGGCCTATGAAGTGTTGTCATGTTTTTGTTTCTCAAATAAATCCCCTTTAAAAAAGGTAAATAAGTGGTTTTTCTGTTTGTTTATTGAAGACAAAGTCTTGCTCTGTTGCCCAGACAGCGCCATCACAGCTCACTCCAACCTCTGCCTCCCAGACCCAAGAGATCCTCCCACCTCAGTCTCCCAAGTAGCTGGACTATAGGTGCACGCTAGCTTGCTAATTTTTGTATTTTTTTGTAGAGACAGGGTTTCTCCACGTTGCCCAGGCTGATCTTGAACTCCTGGGCTCAAGCAATCTGCCCACCTTGGCTTCCCAAAATACTGAGATTACAGGTGTGAGACTCTGTACCTGGCCAAACAAGTGTCTTTTTTTTTTTTTTTTTTTTTTTTTTTTGAGACAGAATCTCACTCTGTCACCCAGGTTGGAGTACAGTGGCATGATCTCAGCTCACTGCAACCTCCGCCTCCCATGTTCAAGTGATTCTCGTGCCTCAGCATCCCGAGTAGCGGGGACTACAGGCACTTGCAACCATGCCTAGATAATTTTTATATTTTTAGTAGAGACGGGGTTTTGCCATGTTGGCCAGGCTGGTCTCAAACTCCTGAGCTCAAGTGATCTGCCCACCTAGGCCTCTCAACATGCTGGGATTACAGGAGTGAGCCACCGCACCTGGCCCAAATAAGTATTTTTTAAATAATGTTTTAAAATTATTTTTTCCAGAATTATATTGTTTGGATTTCGATATTTTGGGATTTCAGTATTTGGGATTATGGCATCAAGAACTGTGTCTTTTAGGCCAGGCGCAGTGGCTCATGCCTGTAATCCCAGCACTTCGGGAGGCTGAGGTGGGCAGATCACCTGAGGTCGGGAGTTTGAGACCAGCCTGGCCAACGTGGCAAAACCCTGCCAAGGTGGGCAGATCACCTGAGGTCAGGAGTTCAAGACCAGCCTGGGCAACATGGCGAAACTCTGTCTCTACCTGTATTTTTTTTTGTAAAAATACAAAAAAATTAGCCGGGTGTGGTGGCACGCACCTATAATCCCAGCTACTTGGGAGGCTCAGGCAGGAGAATCACTTGAACCCAAGAGACAGAGGTTGCAGTGAGCCGAGCACCACTGCACTCCAGCCTGGGCGACAGAACGAAAGTCCATCTCAAAAAAAAAAAGAAAAAAATAAAAAAAAGAACTGTCTCTTTCAGAATTATGGCCTAAACCCGTCTGAAACAACTATTCAAGAAGTCTTTGGGAGAGCTAACACCTACAAACATAAACTTCGGTAATATTTTATAAAATATTCTTAAAAATCACCTTTATCCACACACAAGACAGTTTTAAAAGCTTTGGAGACTGAGTCCAGCTCTGTCGCCAGGCTGGAGTGCAGTGGCACATCTCGACTCACTGCAACCTCCACCTCCCAGGTTTAAGCGATTCTCCCGCCTCAGCCTCCCAAGTAGCTGGGATTACAGGCACGCACCACCATGCCCAGCTAATTTTTGTATTTTTAGTAGAGACGGGGCTTCACCTTGTTGGCCAGGATGGTCTTAATTTCCTGACCTCATGATCCGCTGCTCACCTCGGCCTCCCAAAATGTTGGGATTACAGGTGTGAGCCACGGTGCCCAGCCTTTAAAAGCTTTTTTAACTGAAACACTAGAGTAACAATCTTGGCATTTTTAAACGTATATAATTATCCCTATATATAAAACTATTTTAACAAAAATAACTATTTTCATACAACCATTTTAACTCTAGAATAAAAATACTGTTATAGTGAGATTTTTTCAAATATTTAATTTAGTAGAGTCAAATGTTTAACAAAAATAAAATATTATGAAGTATATAGTATATATTTTAATAAAAGGCTAATAAACTGAATCAGGTCAATAAGAGAAGCAAAATACTGGTTTATAAAACTAAGGCCTTCAAGTGACAGGGGGCCATAGGAAAAAAACAACAAAACAAAAACTAAGGCTTTATTCATTTATAAGTGGCAAAAGAAAAAATTTCCTATTTCCCTATTCCCTAATGATTTAATGTAAACTAAAGCAAAGAGAATGCATTAGTTCACTCTTCCTTAGAAACCTACACCATCTACTAATTTGCTAATGAAATCAGATACATGAGTTCTACATGATCAGTGTTGTGACTTCACATTAGTAGAGACGCTACTTGAGTTGCACTGTCACTGGGTTCCAGAAAGAGAATTTCCTAACGAATCACTAAGAAAGCTTCTTCAACAGATACAGGACGGGCTAGTATCAAAATATAGAAAAAAAAATAAAGTAGAGATAATGCTTTGTCTGTTGAAAAATATTTATTAAACTTCTCTAAAAGGGATTACATAAATATATTATCTCAACTACTATAATTAGATGTCAATTCCAATTCCTTAGTAATATTTTCAAGATTTACCCCTTAAATATAGGCGTATGAAAAACCAAAAGCATCAACAAAAGTTTTATTTATATAAAAAGATTTATGCTGGAATGTTAAAATCTAATATTTTGATTTTGAAAGCAAGTTGATTTTTTAAAAACCCTGAAAACAGTAGAGTGAACTGGCATTCCTTGAAAAGCTGAACAAAATAAGTTTAGTAAAAACAAGTAATAAATTTATTAATTCAGAAAGGATC